>NC_000024.10:56673214-56771509 GCF_000001405.40 Homo sapiens | reverse complement strand
GAATTCCATTCCATTCCAATCCATTCCTTTCCTTTCGCTTGCATTCCATTCTATTCTCTTCTACTGCATACAATTTCACTCCATTCGTTCCCATTCCATTCAATTCCATTCCATTCAATTCCATTCCATTTGTTTCCATTCTCTTCGATTCCATTTCTTTATATTCCATGCCATTCGATTCCATTCTATTGGGTTGCATTACATTCGTGTTCATTCCATTCCAGACCATTCCATTTGACTCCATTCCTTTCGAGCCCTTTCAATTTGAGTCCATTCCTTTCCAGTCCATTTCACTCCAGTCCATTACTATCCATTCCATACCATTCCATCCCATTCCATTACATTCCATTCCATTACATTCCATTCCATTCCATTCCATTGCATTCCATTCCATTCCATTCCATTGCACTGCACTCCATTCCATTACATTCTACTCTATCTGAGTCGATTTTATTGCATTAGATTCTATTCCATTGGATTACTTTCCATTCGATTACATTCCATTCATGTACATTCCATTCCAGTCAATTACATTCGAGTTCATTACGTTACATTCCAGTATATTCCATTGTATTCGATCCCATTCCTTTCAATTCCATTTCATTCGACTCCATTATATTCAATTCCATTCCACTCGAATCCATTCCATTAGAGGACATTCCATTCCAATGCATTCCATTCCATTCCATAGCATTCCATTGCATTCGATTCCATTCCATTTGATGCCATTCCATTTGATGCAATCCCATGACATTCCATTCCATTCGAGTCCATTCCGTTCCAATTCATTCCATTCCGTTTCATGAAATTCGAGTCCTTTCCAGTACATTTCATTCCAATCCCATCCAATCCCATCTACTCCATTCAATTCCTTTCCATTCCATTTGATTTGATTCCATTGATTTGATTCCATTCAGTTTGATTCCATTCCGTGAAATTTCGTTCCATTCTATTCCATTGCATTACTTTCCATTCAATTCCATTCCATTTCATTTCAGTCCATTCGCTTCCTTTCCTTTCGATTCAATTCCATTTGATTCCACTCCATTCTATGCGATTTCATTCCAATCGATTCAATTCCATTCGATGACATTCCTTTCGTTTCCATTCCATTCGAGTCCATTTAATTTGAGCATTCGTGTCCGTTCTATTCGAGTCCATTCCATTACAGTCTATTCTATTCCCTTCCATTCGTGTTGATTCAATTTCATTCCCTTCCATTCGATTCCTTTCCATTCGATTCCATTCCTTTCCATTCCATTCCATTCGTTCCCATTCCATGTGATTTCATTCCATTCCAGTCCATTATATTCGAGTCCACTCCACTCCATTCTATTACATTCAATTCCTTTTGAGTCCGTTCCATAACACTCCATTCATTTCGATTCCATTTCTTGCCAGTTTTCTTCCATTTTATTCCATTCCGTTCGATTCCATTCCATTCGATTGCATTCCATTCGAATCCTTTCCATTCCATTTCATTCCATTCCTTTCTATTCCATTCCATTTCATTCGATTTGATTCCATTCTGTTCTATTCCATTCAATTCTTTTTCATTCCATTCGAATCCTTTCTATTGCAGTCCATTCCATTCGAGTCCATTCCAATCCCTTCCATTCCATTCCATTACAGTCCATTCCAATAGATTCCATTCCTTTGCCTTCCATTCGAATCCATTCCATTCTAGTCCATTCCATTTGAGTCAATTCCATTCCATTCCATTCTATTCCTTTCCAATCCATTCGATTCCATTCGATTCAATTCCATTTGATTCTCTTTCATTCTATTTTATTCCATGCCATTTGATTGCATTGCATTCCATTCCGTTTGATTCCAGTCCATCCAAGAAAGTTCCATTCCAGTCCAGTGCTTTCCAGTCCATTCCATTCCACTCTAGTCTATTCCACTCCATTCCCTTCCATTGCATTCCATACTATTCCATTCCATTCCTTTGCATTCCGTTTACAATCTATTCGAGTCCATTGCATTCCAGTCCAATCCATTCGATTACATTCCTTTTGATTCCCTGCCAGTCGATTGCATTGCATACTACACCATTCCAAAGGAGTTCATTCCATTCTATCTCCACACTTTCCATTCCACTCTGTTTGAGTCCATTCCATTCCAGTCCATTTAATTCAAGGGCATTCCATTCCATTCCATTCCATTCCATTTCATATTATTCCATTCCATTCAATTCCATTCCAGATGATTCCATTCCATTCTATACCATTGCTCTCTGTTCCATTCCATTCCATCTGTCTCCATTCCTTTCGTTTCGATTCCTTTCCATTCCATTCCATTACATTTGATCCTATTTTATTAAATTGCATTCTATTCGAGTGATTTCCATTCGAGTCCTTTCCATTCGATTCCATTCCATTCTATTCCATTCCTTTGGATTCCATTCCATTCCGTTCCGTTCACATCAATTCCTGGCGATTCCATTACATTCGATTTCTTGCCATTCGATTCCATTCCTTTTGACTCCATTTCATTCGATTCCATTCCATTCCATTAATTTCCATTCCATTCGAGACCTTTCCATTGCAGTCTTTTCCCTTCGAGTCCATTCCGTTCGATTCCATTCCGTTCGATTCCCTTCCATTCGATTCCATTCCATTGGAGTCCGTACCAGTCGAGTCCATTCTATTCCAGTCCATTAGTTTCGACTCCATTGCATTCGAGTGCATTCCATTCCGTGGCTGTCCATTCCATTCCGTTTGATGCCATTCCATACGATTCCATTCAATTCGAGACCATTCTATTCCTGTCCATTCCTTGTGGTTCGATTCCATTTCACTCTAGTCCATTCCATTCCATTCAATTCCATTCGACTCTATTCCGTTCCATTCAATTCCATTCCATTCGATTCCATTTTTTTCGAGAACCTTCCATTACACTCCCTTCCATTCCAGTGCATTCCATTCCAGTCTCTTCAGTTCGATTCCATTCCATTCGTTTCGATTCCTTTCCATTCCAGCCCATTCCATTCCATTCCATTCCTTTCCTTTCCGTTTCATTAGATTCCATTGCATTCCATTCCATTCAATTCAATTCCGTGCTATTCAATTTGATTCATTTCCATTTAATTCCATTCCATTAGATTCCATTCCGTACGATTCCATTCCTTTTGAATCCATTCCATTGGAGTCCATTCACTTCCAGAACATTCCATTCCAGTCGAATCCATTCGAGTACATTCCATTAAAGTTCATTACATTCTAATACATTCCATTCCATTGCATTCCATTCCATTCCATTCGATGCCATTCGATTCCATTCCATGCCAAATCATTGCATTCCTTTCCATTCCGTTCCTATCAATTCCATTCCATTCGATTTAGTTCGATTCTATTCACTTCCATTCCATTCGATTCCATTCCATTGGAGTCAATTCCTTTCGACACCCAGCCTTTCCAGTCAATGATTTTGGATTCCATTTTTTTGCATTCCATTACATTCTATGACATTCGATTCCGTTTCATTGCATTCCATTCCATACATTTTTATTCCATTCGAGACCGTAGCATTCCACTTTATTCCAGGCCTGTCCATTACACTACATTCCCTTCCATTCCAATGAATTCCATTCCATTCCAATCCATTCCTTTCCTTTCGCTTGCATTCCATTCTATTCTCTTCTACTGCATACAATTTCACTCCATTCGTTCCCATTCCATTCAATTCCATTCCATTCAATTCCATTCCATTTGTTTCCATTCTCTTCGATTCCATTTCTTTATATTCCATGCCATTCGATTCCATTCTATTGGGTTGCATTACATTCGTGTTCATTCCATTCCAGACCATTCCATTTGACTCCATTCCTTTCGAGACCTTTCAATTTGAGTCCATTCCTTTCCAGTCCATTTCACTCCAGTCCATTACTATCCATTCCATACCATTCCATCCCATTCCATCTCATTCCATTCCATTCCATTCCATTCCATTCCATTCCATTCCATTGCATTCATTCCCATTCCATTCATTGCACTGCACTCCATTCCATTACATTCTACTCTATCTGAGTCGATTTTATTGCATTAGATTCTATTCCATTGGATTACTTTCCATTCGATTACATTCCATTCATGTACATTCCATTCCAGTCAATTACATTCGAGTTCATTACATTACATTCCAGTATATTCCATTGTATTCGATCCCATTCCTTTCAATTCCATTTCATTCGACTCCATTATATTCAATTCCATTCCACTCGAATCCATTCCATTAGAGGACATTCCATTCCAATGCATTCCATTCCATTCCATAGCATTCCATTGCATTCGATTCCATTCCATTTGATGCCATTCCATTTGATGCCATCCCATGACATTCCATTCCATTCGAGTCCATTCCGTTCCAATTCATTCCATTCCGTTTCATGAAATTCGAGTCCTTTCCAGTACATTTCATTCCAATCCCATCCAATCCCATCTACTCCATTCAATTCCTTTCCATTCCATTTGATTTGATTCCATTGATTTGACTCCATTCAGTTTGATTCCATTCCGTGAAATTTCGTTCCATTCTATTCCATTGCATTACTTTCCATTCAATTCCATTCCATTTCATTTCAGTCCATTCGCTTCCTTTCCTTTCGATTCAATTCCATTTGATTCCACTCCATTCTATGCGATTTCATTCCAATCGATTCAATTCCATTCGATGACATTCCTTTCGTTTCCATTCCATTCGAGTCCATTTAATTTGAGCATTCGTGTCCGTTCTATTCGAGTCCATTCCATTACAGTCTATTCTATTCCCTTCCATTCGTGTTGATTCAATTTCATTCCCTTCCATTCGATTCCTTTCCATTCGATTCCATTCCTTTCCATTCCATTCCATTCGTTCCCATTCCATGTGATTTCATTCCATTCCAGTCCATTATATTCGAGTCCACTCCACTCCATTCTATTACATTCAATTCCTTTTGAGTCCGTTCCATAACACTCCATTCATTTCGATTCCATTTCTTGCCAGTTTTCTTCCATTTTATTCCATTCCGTTCGATTCCATTCCATTCGATTGCATTCCATTCGAATCCTTTCCATTCCATTTCATTCCATTCCTTTCTATTCCATTCCATTTCATTCGATTTGATTCCATTCTGTTCTATTCCATTCAATTCTTTTTCATTCCATTCGAATCCTTTCTATTGCAGTCCATTCCATTCGAGTCCATTCCAATCCCTTCCATTCCATTCCAATAGATTCCATTCCTTTGCCTTCCATTCGAATCCATTCCATTCTAGTCCATTCCATTTGAGTCAATTCCATTCCATTCCATTCTATTCCTTTCCAATCCATTCGATTCCATTCGATTCAATTCCATTTGATTCTCTTTCATTCTAATTTATTCCATGCCATTTGATTGCATTGCATTCCATTCCGTTTGATTCCAGTCCATCCAAGAAAGTTCCATTCCAGTCCATTGCTTTCCAGTCCATTCCATTCCACTCTAGTCTATTCCACTCCATTCCCTTCCATTGCATTCCATACTATTCCATTCCATTCCTTTGCATTCCGTTTCCAATCTATTCGAGTCCATTGCATTCCAGTCCAATCCATTCGATTACATTCCTTTTGATTCCCTGCCAGTCGATTGCATTGCATACTACACCATTCCAAAGGAGTTCACTCCATTCTATCTCCACACTTTCCATTCCACTCTGTTTGAGTCCATTCCATTCCAGTCCATTTAATTCAAGGGCATTCCATTCCATTCCATTCCATTCCATTTCATATTATTCCATTCCATTCAATTCCATTCCAGATGATTCCATTCCGTTCTATACCATTGCTCTCTGTTCCATTCCATTCCATCTGTCTCCATTCCTTTCGTTTCGATTCCTTTCCATTCCATTCCATTACATTTGATCCTATTTTATTAAATTGCATTCTATTCGAGTGATTTCCATTCGAGTCCTTTCCATTCGATTCCATTCCATTCTATTCCATTCCTTTGGATTCCATTCCATTCCGTTCCGTTCACATCAATTCCTGGCGATTCCATTACATTCGATTTCTTGCCATTCGATTCCATTCCTTTTGACTCCATTTCATTCGATTCCATTCCATTCCATTAATTTCCATTCCATTCGAGACCTTTCCATTGCAGTCTTTTCCCTTCGAGTCCATTCCGTTCGATTCCCTTCCATTCGATTCCATTCCATTGGAGTCCGTACCAGTCGAGTCCATTCTATTCCAGTCCATTAGTTTCGACTCCATTGCATTCGAGTGCATTCCATTCCGTGGCTGTCCATTCCATTCCGTTTGATGCCATTCCATACGATTCCATTCAATTCGAGACCATTCTATTCCTGTCCATTCCTTGTGGTTCGATTCCATTTCACTCTAGTCCATTCCATTCCATTCAATTCCATTCGACTCTATTCCGTTCCATTCAATTCCATTCCATTCGATTCCATTTTTTTCGAGAACCTTGCATTACACTCCCTTCCATTCCAGTGCATTCCATTCCAGTCTCTTCACTTCGATTCCATTCCATTCGTTTCGATTCCTTTCCATTCCAGCCCATTCCATTCCATTCCATTCCTTTCCTTTCCGTTTCATTAGATTCCATTGCATTCCATTCCATTCAATTCAATTCCGTGCTATTCAATTTGATTCATTTCCATTTAATTCCATTCCATTAGATTCCATTCCGTACGATTCCATTCCTTTTGAATCCATTCCATTGGAGTCCATTCACTTCCAGAACATTCCATTCCAGTCGAATCCATTCGAGTACATTCCATTAAAGTTCATTACATTCTAATACATTCCATTCCATTGCATTCCATTCCATTCCATTCGATGCCATTCGATTCCATTCCATGCCAAATCATTGCATTCCTTTCCATTCCGTTCCTATCAATTCCATTCCATTCGATTTAGTTCGATTCTATTCACTTCCATTCCATTCGATTCCATTCCATTGGAGTCAATTCCTTTCGACACCCAGCCTTTCCAGTCAATGATTTTGGATTCCATTTTTTTGCATTCCATTACATTCTATGACATTCGATTCCGTTTCATTGCATTCCATTCCATACATTTTTATTCCATTCGAGACCGTAGCATTCCACTTTATTCCAGGCCTGTCCATTACACTACATTCCCTTCCATTCCAATGAATTCCATTCCATTCCAATCCATTCCTTTCCTTTCGCTTGCATTCCATTCTATTCTCTTCTACTGCATACAATTTCACTCCATTCGTTCCCATTCCATTCAATTCCATTCCATTCAATTCCATTCCATTTGTTTCCATTCTCTTCGATTCCATTTCTTTATATTCCATGCCATTCGATTCCATTCTATTGGGTTGCATTACATTCGTGTTCATTCCATTCCAGACCATTCCATTTGACTCCATTCCTTTCGAGCCCTTTCAATTTGAGTCCATTCCTTTCCAGTCCATTTCACTCCAGTCCATTACTATCCATTCCATACCATTCCATCCCATTCCATTCCATTCCATTCCATTCCATTCCATTCCATTCCATTGCATTCCATTCCATTCCATTCCATTGCACTGCACTCCATTCCATTACATTCTACTCTATCTGAGTCGATTTTATTGCATTAGATTCTATTCCATTGGATTACTTTCCATTCGATTACATTCCATTCATGTACATTCCATTCCAGTCAATTACATTCGAGTTCATTACGTTACATTCCTGTATATTCCATTGTATTCGATCCCATTCCTTTCAATTCCATTTCATTCGACTCCATTATATTCAATTCCATTCCACTCGAATCCATTCCATTAGAGGACATTCCATTCCAATGCATTCCATTCCATTCCATAGCATTCCATTGCATTCGATTCCATTCCATTTGATGTCATTCCATTTGATGCCATCCCATGACATTCCATTCCATTCGAGTCCATTCCGTTCCAATTCATTCCATTCCGTTTCATGAAATTCGAGTCCTTTCCAGTACATTTCATTCCAATCCCATCCAATCCAATCTACTCCATTCAATTCCTTTCCATTCCATTTGATTTGATTCCATTGATTTGATTCCATTCAGTTTGATTCCATTCCGTGAAATTTCGTTCCATTCTATTCCATTGCATTACTTTCCATTCAATTCCATTCCATTTCATTTCAGTCCATTCGCTTCCTTTCCTTTCGATTCAATTCCATTTGATTCCACTCCATTCTATGCGATTTCATTCCAATCGATTCAATTCCATTCGATGACATTCCTTTCGTTTCCATTCCATTCGAGTCCATTTAATTTGAGCATTCGTGTCCATTCTATTCGAGTCCATTCCATTACAGTCTATTCTATTCCCTTCCATTCGTGTTGATTCAATTTCATTCCCTTCCATTCGATTCCTTTCCATTCGATTCCATTCCTTTCCATTCCATTCCATTCGTTCCCATTCCATGTGATTTCATTCCATTCCAGTCCATTATATTCGAGTCCACTCCACTCCATTCTATTACATTCAATTCCTTTTGAGTCCGTTCCATAACACTCCATTCATTTCGATTCCATTTCTTGCCAGTTTTCTTCCATTTTATTCCATTCCGTTCGATTCCATTCCATTCGATTGCATTCCATTCGAATCCTTTCCATTCCATTTCATTCCATTCCTTTCTATTCCATTCCATTTCATTCGATTTGATTCCATTCTGTTCTATTCCATTCAATTCTTTTTCATTCCATTCGAATCCTTTCTATTGCAGTCCATTCCATTCGAGTCCATTCCAATCCCTTCCATTCCATTCCAATAGATTCCATTCCTTTGCCTTCCATTCGAATCCATTCCATTCTAGTCCATTCCATTTGAGTCAATTCCATTCCATTCCATTCTATTCCTTTCCAATCCATTCGATTCCATTCGATTCAATTCCATTTGATTCTCTTTCATTCTATTTTATTCCATGCCATTTGATTGCATTGCATTCCATTCCGTTTGATTCCAATCCATCCAAGAAAGTTCCATTCCAGTCCATTGCTTTCCAGTCCATTCCATTCCACTCTAGTCTATTCCACTCCATTCCCTTCCATTGCATTCCATACTATTCCATTCCATTCCTTTGCATTCCGTTTCCAATCTCTTCGAGTCCATTGCATTCCAGTCCAATCCATTCGATTACATTCCTTTTGATTCCCTGCCAGTCGATTGCATTGCATACTACACCATTCCAAAGGAGTTCATTCCATTCTATCTCCACACTTTCCATTCCACTCTGTTTGAGTCCATTCCATTCCAGTCCATTTAATTCAAGGGCATTCCATTCCATTCCATTCCATTCCATTTCATATTATTCCATTCCATTCAATTCCATTCCAGATGATTCCATTCCATTCTATACCATTGCTCTCTGTTCCATTCCATTCCATCTGTCTCCATTCCTTTCGTTTCGATTCCTTTCCATTCCATTCCATTACATTTGATCCTATTTTATCAAATTGCATTCTATTCGAGTGATTTCCATTCGAGTCCTTTCCATTCGATTCCATTCCATTCTATTCCATTCCTTTGGATCCCATTCCATTCCGTTCCGTTCACATCAATTCCTGGCGATTCCATTACATTCGATTTCTTGCCATTCGATTCCATTCCTTTTGACTCCATTTCATTCGATTCCATTCCATTCCATTAATTTCCATTCCATTCGAGACCTTTCCATTGCAGTCTTTTCCCTTCGAGTCCATTCCGTTCGATTCCCTTCCGTTCGATTCCCTTCCATTCGATTCCATTCCATTGGAGTCCGTACCAGTCGAGTCCATTCTATTCCAGTCCATTAGTTTCGACTCCATTGCATTCGAGTGCATTCCATTCCGTGGCTGTCCATTCCATTCCGTTTGATGCCATTCCATACGATTCCATTCAATTCGAGACCATTCTATTCCTGTCCATTCCTTGTGGTTCGATTCCATTTCACTCTAGTCCATTCCATTCCATTCAATTCCATTCGACTCTATTCCGTTCCATTCAATTCCATTCCATTCGATTCCATTATTTTCGAGAACCTTGCATTACACTCCCTTCCATTCCAGTGCATTCCATTCCAGTCTCTTCACTTCGATTCCATTCCATTCGTTTCGATTCCTTTCCATTCCAGCCCATTCCATTCCATTCCATTCCTTTCCTTTCCGTTTCATTAGATTCCATTGCATTCGATTCCATTCAATTCAATTCCGTGCTATTCAATTTGATTCATTTCCATTTAATTCCATTCCATTAGATTCCATTCCGTACGATTCCATTCCTTTTGAATCCATTCCATTGGAGTCCATTCACTTCCAGAACATTCCATTCCAGTCGAATCCATTCGAGTACATTCCATTAAAGTTCATTACATTCTAATACATTCCATTCCATTGCATTCCATTCCATTCCATTCGATGCCATTCGATTCCATTCCATGCCAAATCATTGCATTCCTTTCCATTCCGTTCCTATCAATTCCATTCCATTCGATTTAGTTCGATTCTATTCACTTCCATTCCATTCGATTCCATTCCATTGGAGTCAATTCCTTTCGACACCCAGCCTTTCCAGTCAATGATTTTGGATTCCATTTTTTTGCATTCCATTACATTCTATGACATTCGATTCCGTTTCATTGCATTCCATTCCATACATTTTTATTCCATTCGAGACCGTAGCATTCCACTTTATTCCAGGCCTGTCCATTACACTACATTCCCTTCCATTCCAATGAATTCCATTCCATTCCAATCCATTCCTTTCCTTTCGCTTGCATTCCATTCTATTCTCTTCTACTGCATACAATTTCACTCCATTCGTTCCCATTCCATTCAATTCCATTCCATTCAATTCCATTCCATTTGTTTCCATTCTCTTCGATTCCATTTCTTTATATTCCATGCCATTCGATTCCATTCTATTGGGTTGCATTACATTCGTGTTCATTCCATTCCAGACCATTCCATTTGACTCCATTCCTTTCGAGCCCTTTCAATTTGAGTCCATTCCTTTCCAGTCCATTTCACTCCAGTCCATTACTATCCATTCCATACCATTCCATCCCATTCCATTCCATTCCATTCCATTCCATTCCATTCCATTCCATTCCATTCCATTGCATTCCATTCCATTCCATTCCATTGCACTGCACTCCATTCCATTACATTCTACTCTATCTGAGTCGATTTTATTGCATTAGATTCTATTCCATTGGATTACTTTCCATTCGATTACATTCCATTCATGTACATTCCATTCCAGTCAATTACATTCGAGTTCATTACGTTACATTCCAGTATATTCCATTGTATTCGATCCCATTCCTTTCAATTCCATTTCATTCGACTCCATTATATTCAATTCCATTCCACTCGAATCCATTCCATTAGCGGACATTCCATTCCAATGCATTCCATTCCATTCCATAGCATTCCATTGCATTCGATTCCATTCCATTTGATGTCATTCCATTTGATGCCATCCCATGACATTCCATTCCATTCGAGTCAATTCCGTTCCAATTCATTCCATTCCGTTTCATGAAATTCGAGTCCTTTCCAGTACATTTCATTCCAATCCCATCCAATCCCATCTACTCCATTCAATTCCTTTCCATTCCATTTGATTTGATTCCATTGATTTGATTCCATTCAGTTTGATTCCATTCCGTGAAATTTCGTTCCATTCTATTCCATTGCATTACTTTCCATTCAATTCCATTCCATTTCATTTCAGTCCATTCGCTTCCTTTCCTTTCAATTCAATTCCATTTGATTACACTCCATTCTATGCGATTTCATTCCAATCGATTCAATTCCATTCGATGACATTCCTTTCGTTTCCATTCCATTCGAGTCCATTTAATTTGAGCATTCGTGTCCATTCTATTCGAGTCCATTCCATTACAGTCTATTCTATTCCCTTCCATTCCTGTTGATTCAATTTCATTCCCTTCCATTCGATTCCTTTCCATTCGATTCCATTCCTTTCCATTCCATTCCATTCGTTCCCATTCCATGTGATTTCATTCCATTCCAGTCCATTATATTCGAGTCCACTCCACTCCATTCTATTACATTCAATTCCTTTTGAGTCCGTTCCATAACACTCCATTCATTTCGATTCCATTTCTTGCCAGTTTTCTTCCATTTTATTCCATTCCGTTCGATTCCATTCCATTCGATTGCATTCCATTCGAATCCTTTCCATTCCATTTCATTCCATTCCTTTCTATTCCATTCCATTTCATTCGATTTGATTCCATTCTGTTCTATTCCATTCAATTCTTTTTCATTCCATTCGAATCCTTTCTATTGCAGTCCATTCCATTCGAGTCCATTCCAATCCCTTCCATTCCATTCCATTACAGTCCATTCCAATAGATTCCATTCCTTTGCCTTCCATTCGAATCCATTCCATTCTAGTACATTCCATTTGAGTCCATTCCATTCCATTCCATTCTATTCCTTTCCAATCCATTCGATTCCATTCGATTCAATTCCATTTGATTCTCTTTCATTCTATTTTATTCCATGCCATTTGATTGCATTGCATTCCATTCCGTTTGATTCCAGTCCATCCAAGAAAGTTCCATTCCAGTCCATTGCTTTCCAGTCCATTCCATTCCACTCTAGTCTATTCCACTCCATTCCCTTCCATTGCATTCCATACTATTCCATTCCATTCCTTTGCATTCCGTTTCCAATCTATTCGAGTCCATTGCATTCCAGTCCAATCCATTCGATTACATTCCTTTTGATTCCCTGCCAGTCGATTGCATTGCATACTACACCATTCCAAAGGAGTTCATTCCATTCTATCTCCACACTTTCCATTCCACTCTGTTTGAGTCCATTCCATTCCAGTCCATTTAATTCAAGGGCATTCCATTCCATTCCATTCCATTCCATTTCATATTATTCCATTCCATTCAATTCCATTCCAGATGATTCCATTCCATTCTATACCATTGCTCTCTGTTCCATTCCATTCCATCTGTCTCCATTCCTTTCGTTTCGATTCCTTTCCATTCCATTCCATTACATTTGATCCTATTTTATTAAATTGCATTCTATTCGAGTGATTTCCATTCGAGTCCTTTCCATTCGATTCCATTCCATTCTATTCCATTCCTTTGGATTCCATTCCATTCCGTTCCGTTCACATCAATTCCTGGCGATTCCATTACATTCGATTTCTTGCCATTCGATTCCATTCCTTTTGACTCCATTTCATTCGATTCCATTCCATTCCATTAATTTCCATTCCATTCGAGACCTTTCCATTGCAGT
The DNA here is from genome assembly GCF_000001405.40 of Homo sapiens. NCBI lineage: Eukaryota > Metazoa > Chordata > Mammalia > Primates > Hominidae > Homo > Homo sapiens. The sequence continues at coordinate 56,758,244 of NC_000024.10, read as the reverse complement.
CTTTTCCCTTCGAGTCCATTCCGTTCGATTCCATTCCGTTCGATTCCCTTCCATTCGATTCCATTCCATTGGAGTCCGTACCAGTCGAGTCCATTCTATTCCAGTCCATTAGTTTCGACTCCATTGCATTCGAGTGCATTCCATTCCGTGGCTGTCCATTCCATTCCGTTTGATGCCATTCCATACGATTCCATTCAATTCGAGACCATTCTATTCCTGTCCATTCCTTGTGGTTCGATTCCATTTCACTCTAGTCCATTCCATTCCATTCAATTCCATTCGACTCTATTCCGTTCCAATCAATTCCATTCCATTCGATTCCATTTTTTTCGAGAACCTTCCATTACACTCCCTTCCATTCCAGTGCATTCCATTCCAGTCTCTTCACTTCGATTCCATTCCATTCGTTTCGATTCCTTTCCATTCCAGCCCATTCCATTCCATTCCATTCCTTTCCTTTCCGTTTCATTAGATTCCATTGCATTCCATTCCATTCAATTCAATTCCGTGCTATTCAATTTGATTCATTTCCATTTAATTCCATTCCATTAGATTCCATTCCGTACGATTCCATTCCTTTTGAATCCATTCCATTGGAGTCCATTCACTTCCAGAACATTCCATTCCAGTCGAATCCATTCGAGTACATTCCATTAAAGTTCATTACATTCTAATACATTCCATTCCATTGCATTCCATTCCATTCCATTCGATGCCATTCGATTCCATTCCAAGCCAAATCATTGCATTCCTTTCCATTCCGTTCCTATCAATTCCATTCCATTCGATTTAGTTCGATTCTATTCACTTCCATTCCATTCGATTCCATTCCATTGGAGTCAATTCCTTTCGACACCCAGCCTTTCCAGTCAATGATTTTGGATTCCATTTTTTTGCATTCCATTACATTCTATGACATTCGATTCCGTTTCATTGCATTCCATTCCATACATTTTTATTCCATTCGAGACCGTAGCATTCCACTTTATTCCAGGCCTGTCCATTACACTACATTCCCTTCCATTCCAATGAATTCCATTCCATTCCAATCCATTCCTTTCCTTTCGCTTGCATTCCATTCTATTCTCTTCTACTGCATACAATTTCACTCCATTCGTTCCCATTCCATTCAATTCCATTCCATTCAATTCCATTCCATTTGTTTCCATTCTCTTCGATTCCATTTCTTTATATTCCATGCCATTCGATTCCATTCTATTGGGTTGCATTACATTCGTGTTCATTCCATTCCAGACCATTCCATTTGACTCCATTCCTTTCGAGCCCTTTCAATTTGAGTCCATTCCTTTCCAGTCCATTTCACTCCAGTCCATTACTATCCATTCCATACCATTCCATCCCATTCCATTCCATTCCATTCCATTCCATTCCATTCCATTGCACTGCACTCCATTCCATTACATTCTACTCTATCTGAGTCGATTTTATTGCATTAGATTCTATTCCATTGGATTACTTTCCATTCGATTACATTCCATTCATGTACATTCCATTCCAGTCAATTACATTCCAGTTCATTACGTTACATTCCAGTATATTCCATTGTATTCGATCCCATTCCTTTCAATTCGATTTCATTCGACTCCATTATATTCAATTCCATTCCACTCGAATCCATTCCATTAGCGGACATTCCATTCCAATGCATTCCATTCCATTCCATAGCATTCCATTGCATTCGATTCCATTCCATTTGATGTCATTCCATTTGATGCCATCCCATGACATTCCATTCCATTCGAGTCAATTCCGTTCCAATTCATTCCATTCCGTTTCATGAAATTCGAGTCCTTTCCAGTACATTTCATTCCAATCCCATCCAATCCCATCTACTCCATTCAATTCCTTTCCATTCCATTTGATTTGATTCCATTGATTTGATTCCATTCAGTTTGATTCCATTCCGTGAAATTTCGTTCCATTCTATTCCATTGCATTACTTTCCATTCAATTCCATTCCATTTCATTTCAGTCCATTCGCTTCCTTTCCTTTCGATTCAATTCCATTTGATTCCACTCCATTCTATGCGATTTCATTCCAATCGATTCAATTCCATTCGATGACATTCCTTTCGTTTCCATTCCATTCGAGTCCATTTAATTTGAGCATTCGTGTCCATTCTATTCGAGTCCATTCCATTACCGTCTATTCTATTCCCTTCCATTCCTGTTGATTCAATTTCATTCCCTTCCATTCGATTCCTTTCCATTCGATTCCATTCCTTTCCATTCCATTCCATTCGTTCCCATTCCATGTGATTTCATTCCATTCCAGTCCATTATATTCGAGTCCACTCCACTCCATTCTATTACATTCAATTCCTTTTGAGTCCGTTCCATAACACTCCATTCATTTCGATTCCATTTCTTGCCAGTTTTCTTCCATTTTATTCCATTCCGTTCGATTCCATTCCATTCGATTGCATTCCATTCGAATCCTTTCCATTCCATTTCATTCCATTCCTTTCTATTCCATTCCATTTCATTCGATTTGATTCCATTCTGTTCTATTCCATTCAATTCTTTTTCATTCCATTCGAATCCTTTCTATTGCAGTCCATTCCATTCGAGTCCATTCCAATCCCTTCCATTCCATTCCATTACAGTCCATTCCAATAGATTCCATTCCTTTGCCTTCCATTCGAATCCATTCCATTCTAGTCCATTCCATTTGAGTCAATTCCATTCCATTCCATTCTATTCCTTTCCAATCCATTCGATTCCATTCGATTCAATTCCATTTGATTCTCTTTCATTCTATTTTATTCCATGCCATTTGATTGCACTGCATTCCATTCCGTTTGATTCCAGTCCATCCAAGAAAGTTCCATTCCAGTCCATTGCTTTCCAGTCCATTCCATTCCACTCTAGTCTATTCCACTCCATTCCCTTCCATTGCATTCCATACTATTCCATTCCATTCCTTTGCATTCCGTTTCCAATCTATTCGAGTCCATTGCATTCCAGTCCAATCCATTCGATTACATTCCTTTTGATTCCCTGCCAGTCGATTGCATTGCATACTACACCATTCCAAAGGAGTTCATTCCATTCTATCTCCACACTTTCCATTCCACTCTGTTTGAGTCCATTCCATTCCAGTCCATTTAATTCAAGGGCATTCCATTCCATTCCATTCCATTCCATTTCATATTATTCCATTCCATTCAATTCCATTCCAGATGATTCCATTCCATTCTATACCATTGCTCTCTGTTCCATTCCATTCCATCTGTCTCCATTCCTTTCGTTTCGATTCCTTTCCATTCCATTCCATTACATTTGATCCTATTTTATTAAATTGCATTCTATTCGAGTGATTTCCATTCGAGTCCTTTCCATTCGATTCCATTCCATTCTATTCCATTCCTTTGGATTCCATTCCATTCCGTTCCGTTCACATCAATTCCTGGCGATTCCATTACATTCGATTTCTTGCCATTCGATTCCATTCCTTTTGACTCCATTTCATTCGATTCCATTCCATTCCATTAATTTCCATTCCATTCGAGACCTTTCCATTGCAGTCTTTTCCCTTCGAGTCCATTCCGTTCGATTCCCTTCCATTCGATTCCATTCCATTGGGGTCCGTACCAGTCGAGTCCATTCTATTCCAGTCCATTAGTTTCGACTCCATTGCATTCGAGTGCATTCCATTCCGTGGCTGTCCATTCCATTCCGTTTGATGCCATTCCATACGATTCCATTCAATTCGAGACCATTCTATTCCTGTCCATTCCTTGTGGTTCGATTCCATTTCACTCTAGTCCATTCCATTCCATTCAATTCCATTCGACTCTATTCCGTTCCATTCAATTCCATTCCATTCGATTCCATTTTTTTCGACAACCTTCCATTACACTCCCTTCCATTCCAGTGCATTCCATTCCAGTCTCTTCAGTTCGATTCCATTCCATTCGTTTCGATTCCTTTCCATTCCAGCCCATTCCATTCCATTCCATTCCTTTCCTTTCCGTTTCATTAGATTCCATTGCATTCCATTCCATTCAATTCAATTCCGTGCTATTCAATTTGATTCATTTCCATTTAATTGCATTCCATTAGATTCCATTCCGTACGATTCCATTCCTTTTGAATCCATTCCATTGGAGTCCATTCACTTCCAGAACATTCCATTCCAGTCGAATCCATTCGAGTACATTCCATTAAAGTTCATTACATTCTAATACATTCCATTCCATTGCATTCCATTCCATTCCATTCGATGCCATTCGATTCCATTCCATACCAAATCATTGCATTCCTTTCCATTCCGTTCCTATCAATTCCATTCCATTCGATTTAGTTCGATTCTATTCACTTCCATTCCATTCGATTCCATTCCATTGGAGTCAATTCCTTTCGACACCCAGCCTTTCCAGTCAATGATTTTGGATTCCATTTTTTTGCATTCCATTACATTCTATGACATTCGATTCCGTTTCATTGCATTCCATTCCATACATTTTTATTCCATTCGAGACCGTAGCATTCCACTTTATTCCAGGCCTGTCCATTACACTACATTCCCTTCCATTCCAATGAATTCCATTCCATTCCAATCCATTCCTTTCCTTTCGCTTGCATTCCATTCTATTCTCTTCTACCGCATACAATTTCACTCCATTCGTTCCCATTCCATTCAATTCCATTCCATTCAATTCCATTCCATTTGTTTCCATTCTCTTCGATTCCATTTCTTTATATTCCATGCCATTCGATTCCATTCTATTGGGTTGCATTACATTCGTGTTCATTCCATTCCAGACCATTCCATTTGACTCCATTCCTTTCGAGCCCTTTCAATTTGAGTCCATTCCTTTCCAGTCCATTTCACTCCAGTCCATTACTATCCATTCCATACCATTCCATCCCATTCCATTCCATTCCATTCCATTCCATTCCATTCCATTCCATTGCATTCCATTCCATTCCATTCCATTGCACTGCACTCCATTCCATTACATTCTACTCTATCTTAGTCGATTTTATTGCATTAGATTCTATTCCATTGGATTACTTTCCATTCGGTTACATTCCATTCATGTACATTCCATTCCAGTCAATTACATTCGAGTTCATTACGTTACATTCCAGTATATTCCATTGTATTCGATCCCATTCCTTTCAATTCCATTTCATTCGACTCCATTATATTCAATTCCATTCCACTCGAATCCATTCCATTAGAGGACATTCCATTCCAATGCATTCCATTCCATTCCATAGCATTCCATTGCATTCGATTCCATTCCATTTGATGCCATTCCATTTGATGCCATCCCATGACATTCCATTCCATTCGAGTCCATTCCGTTCCAATTCATTCCATTCCGTTTCATGAAATTCGAGTCCTTTCCAGTACATTTCATTCCAATCCCATCCAATCCCATCTACTCCATTCAATTCCTTTCCATTCCATTTGATTTGATTCCATTGATTTGATTCCATTCAGTTTGATTCCATTCCGTGAAATTTCGTTCCATTCTATTCCATTGCATTACTTTCCATTCAATTCCATTCCATTTCATTTCAGTCCATTCGCTTCCTTTCCTTTCGATTCAATTCCATTTGATTCCACTCCATTCTATGCGATTTCATTCCAATTGATTCAATTCCATTCGATGACATTCCTTTCGTTTCCATTCCATTCGAGTCCATTTAATTTGAGCATTCGTGTCCATTCTATTCGAGTCCATTCCATTACAGTCTATTCTATTCCCTTCCATTCGTGTTGATTCAATTTCATTCCCTTCCATTCGATTCCTTTCCATTCGATTCCATTCCTTTCCATTCCATTCCATTCGTTCCCATTCCATGTGATTTCATTCCATTCCAGTCCATTATATTCGAGTCCACTCCACTCCATTCTATTACATTCAATTCCTTTTGAGTCCGTTCCATAACACTCCATTCATTTCGATTCCATTTCTTGCCAGTTTTCTTCCATTTTATTCCATTCCGTTCGATTCCATTCCATTCGATTGCATTCCATTCGAATCCTTTCTATTGCAGTCCATTCCATTCGAGTCCATTCCAATCCCTTCCATTCCATTCCATTACAGTCCATTCCAATAGATTCCATTCCTTTGCCTTCCATTCGAATCCATTCCATTCTAGTCCATTCCATTTGAGTCAATTCCATTCCATTCCATTCTATTCCTTTCCAATCCATTCGATTCCATTCGATTCAATTCCATTTGATTCTCTTTCATTCTAATTTATTCCATGCCATTTGATTGCATTGCATTCCATTCCGTTTGATTCCAGTCCATCCAAGAAAGTTCCATTCCAGTCCATTGCTTTCCAGTCCATTCCATTCCACTCTAGTCTATTCCACTCCATTCCCTTCCATTGCATTCCATACTATTCCATTCCATTCCTTTGCATTCCGTTTCCAATCTATTCGAGTCCATTGCATTCCAGTCCAATCCATTCGATTACATTCCTTTTGATTCCCTGCCAGTCGATTGCATTGCATACTACACCATTCCAAAGGAGTTCATTCCATTCTATCTCCACACTTTCCATTCCACTCTGTTTGAGTCCATTCCATTCCAGTCCATTTAATTCAAGGGCATTCCATTCCATTCCATTCCATTCCATTTCATATTATTCCATTCCATTCAATTCCATTCCAGATGATTCCATTCCATTCTATACCATTGCTCTCTGTTCCATTCCATTCCATCTGTCTCCATTCCTTTCGTTTCGATTCCTTTCCATTCCATTCCATTACATTTGATCCTATTTTATCAAATTGCATTCTATTCGAGTGATTTCCATTCGAGTCCTTTCCATTCGATTCCATTCCATTCTATTCCATTCCTTTGGATCCCATTCCATTCCGTTCCGTTCACATCAATTCCTGGCGATTCCATTACATTCGATTTCTTGCCATTCGATTCCATTCCTTTTGACTCCATTTCATTCGATTCCATTCCATTCCATTAATTTCCATTCCATTCGAGACCTTTCCATTGCAGTCTTTTCCCTTCGAGTCCATTCCGTTCGATTCCCTTCCGTTCGATTCCCTTCCATTCGATTCCATTCCATTGGAGTCCGTACCAGTCGAGTCCATTCTATTCCAGTCCATTAGTTTCGACTCCATTGCATTCGAGTGCATTCCATTCCGTGGCTGTCCATTCCATTCCGTTTGATGCCATTCCATACGATTCCATTCAATTCGAGACCATTCTATTCCTGTCCATTCCTTGTGGTTCGATTCCATTTCACTCTAGTCCATTCCATTCCATTCAATTCCATTCGACTCTATTACGTTCCATTCAATTCCATTCCATTCGATTCCATTTTTTTCGAGAACCTTGCATTACACTCCCTTCCATTCCAGTGCATTCCATTCCAGTCTCTTCACTTCGATTCCATTCCATTCGTTTCGATTCCTTTCCATTCCAGCCCATTCCATTCCATTCCATTCCTTTCCTTTCCGTTTCATTAGATTCCATTGCATTCCATTCCATTCAATTCAATTCCGTGCTATTCAATTTGATTCATTTCCATTTAATTCCATTCCATTAGATTCCATTCCGTACGATTCCATTCCTTTTGAATCCATTCCATTGGAGTCCATTCACTTCCAGAACATTCCATTCCAGTCGAATCCATTCGAGTACATTCCATTAAAGTTCATTACATTCTAATACATTCCATTCCATTGCATTCCATTCCATTCCATTCGATGCCATTCGATTCCATTCCATGCCAAATCATTGCATTCCTTTCCATTCCGTTCCTATCAATTCCATTCCATTCGATTTAGTTCGATTCTATTCACTTCCATTCCATTCGATTCCATTCCATTGGAGTCAATTCCTTTCGACACCCAGCCTTTCCAGTCAATGATTTTGGATTCCATTTTTTTGCATTCCATTACATTCTATGACATTCGATTCCGTTTCATTGCATTCCATTCCATACATTTTTATTCCATTCGAGACCGTAGCATTCCACTTTATTCCAGGCCTGTCCATTACACTACATTCCCTTCCATTCCAATGAATTCCATTCCATTCCAATCCATTCCTTTCCTTTCGCTTGCATTCCATTCTATTCTCTTCTACTGCATACAATTTCACTCCATTCGTTCCCATTCCATTCAATTCCATTCCATTCAATTCCATTCCCTTTGTTTCCATTCTCTTCGATTCCATTTCTTTATATTCCATGCCATTCGATTCCATTCTATTGGGTTGCATTACATTCGAGTTCATTCCATTCCAGACCATTCCATTTGACTCCATTCCTTTCGAGCCCTTTCAATTTGAGTCCATTCCTTTCCAGTCCATTTCACTCCAGTCCATTACTATCCATTCCATACCATTCCATCCCATTCCATTCCATTCCATTCCATTCCATTCCATTCCATTCCATTGCATTCCATTCCATTCCATTCCATTGCACTGCACTCCATTCCATTACATTCTACTCTATCTGAGTCGATTTTATTGCATTAGATTCTATTCCATTGGATTACTTTCCATTCGATTACATTCCATTCATGTACATTCCATTCCAGTCAATTACATTCGAGTTCATTACGTTACATTCCAGTATATTCCATTGTATTCGATCCCATTCCTTTCAATTCCATTTCATTCGACTCCATTATATTCAATTCCATTCCACTCGAATCCATTCCATTAGCGGACATTCCATTCCAATGCATTCCATTCCATTCCATAGCATTCCATTGCATTCGATTCCATTCCATTTGATGTCATTCCATTTGATGCCATCCCATGACATTCCATTCCATTCGAGTCAATTCCGTTCCAATTCATTCCATTCCGTTTCATGAAATTCGAGTCCTTTCCAGTACATTTCATTCCAATCCCATCCAATCCCATCTACTCCATTCAATTCCTTTCCATTCCATTTGATTTGATTCCATTGATTTGATTCCATTCAGTTTGATTCCATTCCGTGAAATTTCGTTCCATTCTATTCCATTGCATTACTTTCCATTCAATTCCATTCCATTTCATTTCAGTCCATTCGCTTCCTTTCCTTTCGATTCAATTCCATTTGATTCCACTCCATTCTATGCGATTTCATTCCAATCGATTCAATTCCATTCGATGACATTCCTTTCGTTTCCATTCCATTCGAGTCCATTTAATTTGAGCATTCGTGTCCATTCTATTCGAGTCCATTCCATTACAGTCTATTCTATTCCCTTCCATTCCTGTTGATTCAATTTCATTCCCTTCCATTCGATTCCTTTCCATTCGATTCCATTCCTTTCCATTCCATTCCATTCGTTCCCATTCCATGTGATTTCATTCCATTCCAGTCCATTATATTCGAGTCCACTCCACTCCATTCTATTACATTCAATTCCTTTTGAGTCCGTTCCATAACACTCCATTCATTTCGATTCCATTTCTTGCCAGTTTTCTTCCATTTTATTCCATTCCGTTCGATTCCATTCCATTCGATTGCATTCCATTCGAATCCTTTCCATTCCATTTCATTCCATTCCTTTCTATTCCATTCCATTTCATTCGATTTCATTCCATTCTGTTCTATTCCATTCAATTCTTTTTCATTCCATTCGAATCCTTTCTATTGCAGTCCATTCCATTCGAGTCCATTCCAATCCCTTCCATTCCATTCCATTACAGTCCATTCCAATAGATTCCATTCCTTTGCCTTCCATTCGAATCCATTCCATTCTAGTCCATTCCATTTGAGTCAATTCCATTCCATTCCATTCTATTCCTTTCCAATCCATTCGATTCCATTCGATTCAATTCCATTTGATTCTCTTTCATTCTATTTTATTCCATGCCATTTGATTGCACTGCATTCCATTCCGTTTGATTCCAGTCCATCCAAGAAAGTTCCATTCCAGTCCATTGCTTTCCAGTCCATTCCATTCCACTCTAGTCTATTCCACTCCATTCCCTTCCATTGCATTCCATACTATTCCATTCCATTCCTTTGCATTCCGTTTCCAATCTATTCGAGTCCTTTGCATTCCAGTCCAATCCTTTCGATTACGTACCTTTTGATTCCCTGCCAGTCGATTGCATTGCATACTACACCATTCCAAAGGAGTTCATTCCATTCTATCTCCACACTTTCCATTCCACTCTGTTTGAGTCCATTCTATTCCAGTCCATTCAATTCAAGGGCATTCCATTCCATTCCATTCCATTCCATTTCATATTATTCCATTCCATTCAATTCCATTCCAGATGATTCCATTCCATTCTATACCATTGCTCTCTGTTCCATTCCATTCCATCTGTCTCCATTCCTTTCGTTTCGATTCCTTTCCATTCCATTCCATTACATTTGATCCTATTTTATTAAATTGCATTCTATTCGAGTGATTTCCATTCGAGTCCTTTCCATTCGATTCCATTCCATTCTATTCCATTCCTTTGGATTCCATTCCATTCCGTTCCATTCACATCAATTCCTGGCGATTCCATTACATTCGATTTCTTGCCATTCGATTCCATTCCTTTTGACTCCATTTCATTCGATTCCATTCCATTCCATTAATTTCCATTCCATTCGAGACCTTTCCATTGCAGTCTTTTCCCTTCGAGTCCATTCCGTTCGATTCCCTTCCGTTCGATTCCCTTCCATTCGATTCCATTCCATTGGAGTCCGTACCAGTCGAGTCCATTCTATTCCAGTCCATTAGTTTCGACTCCATTGCTTTCGAGTGCATTCCATTCCGTGGCTGTCCATTCCATTCCGTTTGATGCCATTCCATACGATTCCATTCAATTCGAGACCATTCTATTCCTGTCCATTCCTTGTGGTTCGATTCCATTTCACTCTAGTCCATTCCATTCCATTCAATTCCATTCGACTCTATTCCGTTCCATTCAATTCCATTCCATTCGATTCCATTTTTTTCGAGAACCTTCCATTACACTCCCTTCCATTCCAGTGCATTCCATTCCAGTCTCTTCACTTCGATTCCATTCCATTCGTTTCGATTCCTTTCCATTCCAGCCCATTCCATTCCATTCCATTCCTTTCCTTTCCGTTTCATTAGATTCCATTGCATTCCATTCCATTCAATTCAATTCCGTGCTATTCAATTTGATTCATTTCCATTTAATTCCATTCCATTAGATTCCATTCCGTACGATTCCATTCCTTTTGAATCCATTCCATTGGAGTCCATTCACTTCCAGAACATTCCATTCCAGTCGAATCCATTCGAGTACATTCCATTAAAGTTCATTACATTCTAATACATTCCATTCCATTGCATTCCATTCCATTCCATTCGATGCCATTCGATTCCATTCCATGCCAAATCATTGCATTCCTTTCGATGCCGTTCCTATCAATTCCATTCCATTCGATTTAGTTCGATTCTATTCACTTCCATTTCCATTCGATTCCATTCCATTGGAGTCAATTCCTTTCGACACCCAGCCTTTCCAGTCAATGATTTTGGATTCCATTTTTTTGCATTCCATTACATTCTATGACATTCGATTCCGTTTCATTGCATTCCATTCCATACATTTTTATTCCATTCGAGACCGTAGCATTCCACTTTATTCCAGGCCTGTCCATTACACTACATTCCCTTCCATTCCAATGAATTCCATTCCATTCCAATCCATTCCTTTCCTTTCGCTTGCATTCCATTCTATTCTCTTCTACTGCATACAATTTCACTCCATTCGTTCCCATTCCATTCAATTCCATTCCATTCAATTCCATTCCATTTGTTTCCATTCTCTTCGATTCCATTTCTTTATATTCCATGCCATTCGATTCCATTCTATTGGGTTGCATTACATTCGTGTTCATTCCATTCCAGACCATTCCATTTGACTCCATTCCTTTCGAGCCCTTTCAATTTGAGTCCATTCCTTTCCAGTCCATTTCACTCCAGTCTATTACTATCCATTCCATACCATTCCATCCCATTCCATTCCATTCCATTCCATTCCATTCCATTCCATTCCATTCCATTCCATTGCATTCCATTCCATTCCATTCCTTTGCACTGCACTCCATTCCATTACATTCTACTCTATCTGAGTCGATTTTATTGCATTAGATTCTATTCCATTGGATTACTTTCCATTCGATTACATTCCATTCATGTACATTCCATTCCAGTCAATTACATTCGAGTTCATTACATTACATTCCAGTATATTCCATTGTATTCGATCCCATTCCTTTCAATTCCATTTCATTCGACTCCATTATATTCAATTCCATTCCACTCGAATCCATTCCATTAGAGGACATTCCATTCCAATGCATTCCATTCCATTCCATAGCATTCCATTGCATTCGATTCCATTCCATTTGATGCCATTCCATTTGATGCCATCCCATGACATTCCATTCCATTCGAGTCCATTCCGTTCCAATTCATTCCATTCCGTTTCATGAAATTCGAGTCCTTTCCAGTACATTTCATTCCAATCCCATCCAATCCCATCTACTCCATTCAATTCCTTTCCATTCCATTTGATTTGATTCCATTGATTTGACTCCATTCAGTTTGATTCCATTCCGTGAAATTTCGTTCCATTCTATTCCATTGCATTACTTTCCATTCAATTCCATTCCATTTCATTTCAGTCCATTCGCTTCCTTTCCTTTCGATTCAATTCCATTTGATTCCACTCCATTCTATGCGATTTCATTCCAATCGATTCAATTCCATTCGATGACATTCCTTTCGTTTCCATTCCATTCGAGTCCATTTAATTTGAGCATTCGTGTCCATTCTATTCGAGTCCATTCCATTACAGTCTATTCTATTCCCTTCCATTCGTGTTGATTCAATTTCATTTCCTTCCATTCGATTCCTTTCCATTCGATTCCATTCCTTTCCATTCCATTCCATTCGTTCCCATTCCATGTGATTTCATTCCATTCCAGTCCATTATATTCGAGTCCACTCCACTCCATTCTATTACATTCAATTCCTTTTGAGTCCGTTCCATAACACTCCATTCATTTCGATTCCATTTCTTGCCAGTTTTCTTCCATTTTATTCCATTCCGTTCGATTCCATTCCATTCGATTGCATTCCATTCGAATCCTTTCCATTCCATTTCATTCCATTCCTTTCTATTCCATTCCATTTCATTCGATTTGATTCCATTCTGTTCTATTCCATTCAATTCTTTTTCATTCCATTCGAATCCTTTCTATTGCAGTCCATTCCATTCGAGTCCATTCGAATCCCTTCCATTCCATTCCATTACAGTCCATTCCAATAGATTCCATTCCTTTGCCTTCCATTCGAATCCATTCCATTCTAGTCCATTCCATTTGAGTCAATTCCATTCCATTCCATTCTATTCCTTTCCAATCCATTCGATTCCATTCGATTCAATTCCATTTGATTCTCTTTCATTCTATTTTATTCCATGCCATTTGATTGCATTGCATTCCATTCCGTTTGATTCCAGTCCATCCAAGAATGTTCCATTCCAGTCCATTGCTTTCCAGTCCATTCCATTCCACTCTAGTCTATTCCACTCCATTCCCTTCCATTGCATTCCATACTATTCCATTCCATTCCTTTGCGTTCCGTTTCCAATCTATTCGAGTCCATTGCATTTCAGTCCAATCCATTCGATTACATTCCTTTTGATTCCCTGCCAGTCGATTGCATTGCATACTACACCATTCCAAAGGAGTTCATTCCATTCTATCTCCACACTTTCCATTCCACTCTGTTTGAGTCCATTCCATTCCAGTCCATTTAATTCAAGGGCATTCCATTCCATTCCATTCCATTCCATTTCATATTATTCCATTCCATTCAAATCCATTCCAGATGATTCCATTCCATTCTATACCATTGCTCTCTATTCCATTCCATTCTATCTGTCTCCATTCCTTTCGTTTCAATTCCTTTCCATTCCATTCCATTACATTTGATCCTATTTTATTAAATTGCATTCTATTCGAGTGATTTCCATTCGAGTCCTTTCCATTCGATTCCATTCCATTCTATTCCATTCCTTTGGATTCCATTCCATTCCGTTCCGTTCACATCAATTCCTGGCGATTCCATTACATTCGATTTCTTGCCATTCGATTCCATTCCTTTTGACTCCATTTCATTCGATTCCATTCCATTCCATTAATTTCCATTCCATTCGAGACCTTTCCATTGCAGTCTTTTCCCTTCGAGTCCATTCCGTTCGATTCCCTTCCATTCGATTCCATTCCATTGGAGTCCGTACCAGTCGAGTCCATTCTATTCCAGTCCATTAGTTTCGACTCCATTGCATTCGAGTGCATTCCATTCCGTGGCTGTCCATTCCATTCCGTTTGATGCCATTCCATACGATTCCATTCAATTCGAGACCATTCTATTCCTGTCCATTCCTTGTGGTTCGATTCCATTTCACTCTAGTCCATTCCATTCCATTCAATTCCATTCGACTCTATTCCGTTCCATTCAATTCCATTCCATTCGATTCCATTTTTTTCGAGAACCTTCCATTACACTCCCTTCCATTCCAGTGCATTCCATTCCAGTCTCTTCACTTCGATTCCATTCCATTCGTTTCGATTCCTTTCCATTCCAGCCCATTCCATTCCATTCCATTCCTTTCCTTTCCGTTTCATTAGATTCCATTGCATTCCATTCCATTCAATTCAATTCCGTGCTATTCAATTTGATTCATTTCCATTTAATTCCATTCCATTAGATTCCATTCCGTACGATTCCATTCCTTTTGAATCCATTCCATTGGAGTCCATTCACTTCCAGAACATTCCATTCCAGTCGAATCCATTCGAGTACATTCCATTAAAGTTCATTCCATTCTAATACATTCCATTCCATTGCATTCCATTCCATTCCATTCGATGCCATTCGATTCCATTCCATGCCAAATCATTGCATTCCTTTCCATTCCGTTCCTATCAATTCCATTCCATTCGATTTAGTTCGATTCTATTCACTTCCATTCCATTCGATTCCATTCCATTGGAGTCAATTCCTTTCGACACCCAGCCTTTCCAGTCAATGATTTTGGATTCCATTTTTTTGCATTCCATTACATTCTATGACATTCGATTCCGTTTCATTGCATTCCATTCCATACATTTTTATTCCATTCGAGACCGTAGCATTCCACTTTATTCCAGGCCTGTCCATTACACTACATTCCCTTCCATTCCAATGAATTCCATTCCATTCCAATCCATTCCTTTCCTTTCGCTTGCATTCCATTCTATTCTCTTCTACTGCATACAATTTCACTCCATTCGTTCCCATTCCATTCAATTCCATTCCATTCAATTCCATTCCATTTGTTTCCATTCTCTTCGATTCCATTTCTTTATATTCCATGCCATTCGATTCCATTCTATTGGGTTGCATTACATTCGTGTTCATTCCATTCCAGACCATTCCATTTGACTCCATTCCTTTCGAGACCTTTCAATTTGAGTCCATTCCTTTCCAGTCCATTTCACTCCAGTCCATTACTATCCATTCCATACCATTCCATCCCATTCCATCCCATTCCATTCCATTCCATTCCATTCCATTCCATTCCATTCCATTCCATTGCATTCCATTCCATTCCATTCCATTGCACTGCACTCCATTCCATTACATTCTACTCTATCTGAGTCGATTTTATTGCATTAGATTCTATTCCATTGGATTACTTTCCATTCGATTACATTCCATTCATGTACATTCCATTCCAGTCAATTACATTCGAGTTCATTACGTTACATTCCAGTATATTCCATTGTATTCGATCCCATTCCTTTCAATTCCATTTCATTCGACTCCATTATATTCAATTCCATTCCACTCGAATCCATTCCATTAGCGGACATTCCATTCCAATGCATTCCATTCCATTCCATAGCATTCCATTGCATTCGATTCCATTCCATTTGATGTCATTCCATTTGATGCCATCCCATGACATTCCATTCCATTCGAGTCCATTCCGTTCCAATTCATTCCATTCCGTTTCATGAAATTCGAGTCCTTTCCAGTACATTTCATTCCAATCCCATCCAATCCCATCTACTCCATTCAATTCCTTTCCATTCCATTTGATTTGATTCCATTGATTTGATTCCATTCAGTTTGATTCCATTCCGTGAAATTTCGTTCCATTCTATTCCATTGCATTACTTTCCATTCAATTCCATTCCATTTCATTTCAGTCCATTCGCTTCCTTTCCTTTCGATTCAATTCCATTTGATTCCACTCCATTCTATGCGATTTCATTCCAATCGATTCAATTCCATTCGATGACATTCCTTTCGTTTCCAATCCATTCGAGTCCATTTAATTTGAGCATTCGTGTCCATTCTATTCGAGTCCATTCCATTACAGTCTATTCTATTCCCTTCCATTCGTGTTGATTCAATTTCATTCCCTTCCATTCGATTCCTTTCCATTCGATTCCATTCCTTTCCATTCCATTCCATTCGTTCCCATTCCATGTGATTTCATTCCATTCCAGTCCATTATATTCGAGTCCACTCCACTCCATTCTATTACATTCAATTCCTTTTGAGTCCGTTCCATAACACTCCATTCATTTCGATTCCATTTCTTGCCAGTTTTCTTCCATTTTCTTCCATTCCGTTCGATTCCATTCCATTCGATTGCATTCCATTCGAATCCTTTCCATTCCATTTCATTCCATTCCTTTCTATTCCATTCCATTTCATTCGATTTGATTCCATTCTGTTCTATTCCATTCAATTCTTTTTCATTCCATTCGAATCCTTTCTATTGCAGTCCATTCCATTCGAGTCCATTCCAATCCCTTCCATTCCATTCCATTACAGACCATTCCAATAGATTCCATTCCTTTGCCTTCCATTCGAATCCATTCCATTCTAGTCCATTCCATTTGAGTCCATTCCATTCCATTCCATTCTATTCCTTTCCAATCCATTCGATTCCATTCGATTCAATTCCATTTGATTCTCTTTCATTCTATTTTATTCCATGCCATTTGATTGCATTGCATTCCATTCCGTTTGATTCCAGTCCATCCAAGAAAGTTCCATTCCAGTCCAGTGCTTTCCAGTCCATTCCATTCCACTCTAGTCTATTCCACTCCATTCCCTTCCATTGCATTCCATACTATTCCATTCCATTCCTTTGCATTCCGTTTACAATCTATTCGAGTCCATTGCATTCCAGTCCAATCCATTCGATTACATTCCTTTTGATTCCCTGCCAGTCGATTGCATTGCATACTACACCATTCCAAAGGAGTTCATTCCATTCTATCTCCACACTTTCCATTCCACTCTGTTTGAGTCCATTCCATTCCAGTCCATTTAATTCAAGGGCATTCCATTCCATTCCATTCCATTCCATTTCATATTATTCCATTCCATTCAATTCCATTCCAGATGATTCCATTCCATTCTATACCATTGCTCTCTGTTCCATTCCATTCCATCTGTCTCCATTCCTTTCGTTTCGATTCCTTTCCATTCCATTCCATTACATTTGATCCTATTTTATTAAATTGCATTCTATTCGAGTGATTTCCATTCGAGTCCTTTCCATTCGATTCCATTCCATTCTATTCCATTCCTTTGGATTCCATTCCATTCCGTTCCGTTCACATCAATTCCTGGCGATTCCATTACATTCGATTTCTTGCCATTCGATTCCATTCCTTTTGACTCCATTTCATTCGATTCCATTCCATTCCATTAATTTCCATTCCATTCGAGACCTTTCCATTGCAGTCTTTTCCCTTCGAGTCCATTCCGTTCGATTCCCTTCCGTTCGATTCCCTTCCATTCGATTCCATTCCATTGGAGTCCGTACCAGTCGAGTCCATTCTATTCCAGTCCATTAGTTTCGACTCCATTGCATTCGAGTGCATTCCATTCCGTGGCTGTCCATTCCATTCCGTTTGATGCCATTCCATACGATTCCATTCAATTCGAGACCATTCTATTCCTGTCCATTCCTTGTGGTTCGATTCCATTTCACTCTAGTCCATTCCATTCCATTCAATTCCATTCGACTCTATTCCGTTCCATTCAATTCCATTCCATTCGATTCCATTTTTTTCGAGAACCTTGCATTACACTCCCTTCCATTCCAGTGCATTCCATTCCAGTCTCTTCAGTTCGATTCCATTCCATTCGTTTCGATTCCTTTCCATTCCAGCCCATTCCATTCCATTCCATTCCTTTCCTTTCCGTTTCATTAGATTCCATTGCATTCCATTCCATTCAATTCAATTCCGTGCTATTCAATTTGATTCATTTCCATTTAATTCCATTCCATTAGATTCCATTCCGTACGATTCCATTCCTTTTGAATCCATTCCATTGGAGTCCATTCACTTCCAGAACATTCCATTCCAGTCGAATCCATTCGAGTACATTCCATTAAAGTTCATTACATTCTAATACATTCCATTCCATTGCATTCCATTCCATTCCATTCGATGCCATTCGATTCCATTCCATGCCAAATCATTGCATTCCTTTCCATTCCGTTCCTATCAATTCCATTCCATTCGATTTAGTTCGATTCTATTCACTTCCATTCCATTCGATTCCATTCCATTGGAGTCAATTCCTTTCGACACCCAGCCTTTCCAGTCAATGATTTTGGATTCCATTTTTTTGCATTCCATTACATTCTATGACATTCGATTCCGTTTCATTGCATTCCATTCCATACATTTTTATTCCATTCGAGACCGTAGCATTCCACTTTATTCCAGGCCTGTCCATTACACTACATTCCCTTCCATTCCAATGAATTCCATTCCATTCCAATCCATTCCTTTCCTTTCGCTTGCATTCCATTCTATTCTCTTCTACTGCATACAATTTCACTCCATTCGTTCCCATTCCATTCAATTCCATTCCATTCAATTCCATTCCATTTGTTTCCATTCTCTTCGATTCCATTTCTTTATATTCCATGCCATTCGATTCCATTCTATTGGGTTGCATTACATTCGTGTTCATTCCATTCCAGACCATTCCATTTGACTCCATTCCTTTCGAGCCCTTTCAATTTGAGTCCATTCCTTTCCAGTCCATTTCACTCCAGTCCATTACTATCCATTCCATACCATTCCATCCCATTCCATTCCATTCCATTCCATTCCATTCCATTCCATTCCATTGCATTCCATTCCATTCCATTCCATTGCACTGCACTCCATTCCATTACATTCTACTCTATCTGAGTCGATTTTATTGCATTAGAATCTATTCCATTGGATTACTTTCCATTCGATTACATTCCATTCATGTACATTCCATTCCAGTCAATTACATTCGAGTTCATTACGTTACATTCCAGTATATTCCATTGTATTCGATCCCATTCCTTTCAATTCCATTTCATTCGACTCCATTATATTCAATTCCATTCCACTCGAATCCATTCCATTAGAGGACATTCCATTCCAATGCATTCCATTCCATTCCATAGCATTCCATTGCATTCGATTCCATTCCATTTGATGCCATTCCATTTGATGCCATCCCATGACATTCCATTCCATTCGAGTCCATTCCGTTCCAATTCATTCCATTCCGTTTCATCAAATTCGAGTCCTTTCCAGTACATTTCATTCCAATCCCATCCAATCCCATCTACTCCATTCAATTCCTTTCCATTCCATTTGATTTGATTCCATTGATTTGATTCCATTCAGTTTGATTCCATTCCGTGAAATTTCGTTCCATTCTATTCCATTGCATTACTTTCCATTCAATTCCATTCCATTTCATTTCAGTCCATTCGCTTCCTTTCCTTTCGATTCAATTCCATTTGATTCCACTCCATTCTATGCGATTTCATTCCAATTGATTCAATTCCATTCGATGACATTCCTTTCGTTTCCATTCCATTCGAGTCCATTTAATTTGAGCATTCGTGTCCATTCTATTCGAGTCCATTCCATTACAGTCTATTCTATTCCCTTCCATTCGTGTTGATTCAATTTCATTCCCTTCCATTCGATTCCTTTCCATTCGATTCCATTCCTTTCCATTCCATTCCATTCGTTCCCATTCCATGTGATTTCATTCCATTCCAGTCCATTATATTCGAGTCCACTCCACTCCATTCTATTACATTCAATTCCTTTTGAGTCCGTTCCATAACACTCCATTCATTTCGATTCCATTTCTTGCCAGTTTTCTTCCATTTTATTCCATTCCGTTCGATTCCATTCCATTCGATTGCATTCCATTCGAATCCTTTCCATTCCATTTCATTCCATTCCTTTCTATTCCATTCCATTTCATTCGATTTGATTCCATTCTGTTCTATTCCATTCAATTCTTTTTCATTCCATTCGAATCCTTTCTATTGCAGTCCATTCCATTCGAGTCCATTCCAATCCCTTCCATTCCATTCCATTACAGTCCATTCCAATAGATTCCATTCCTTTGCCTTCCATTCGAATCCATTCCATTCTAGTCCATTCCATTTGAGTCAATTCCATTCCATTCCATTCTATTCCTTTCCAATCCATTCGATTCCATTCGATTCAATTCCATTTGATTCTCTTTCATTCTAATTTATTCCATGCCATTTGATTGCATTGCATTCCATTCCGTTTGATTCCAGTCCATCCAAGAAAGTTCCATTCCAGTCCATTGCTTTCCAGTCCATTCCATTCCACTCTAGTCTATTCCACTCCATTCCCTTCCATTGCATTCCATACTATTCCATTCCATTCCTTTGCATTCCGTTTCCAATCTATTCGAGTCCATTGCATTCCAGTCCAATCCATTCGATTACATTCCTTTTGATTCCCTGCCAGTCGATTGCATTGCATACTACACCATTCCAAAGGAGTTCATTCCATTCTATCTCCACACTTTCCATTCCACTCTGTTTGAGTCCATTCCATTCCAGTCCATTTAATTCAAGGGCATTCCATTCCATTCCATTCCATTCCATTTCATATTATTCCATTCCATTCAATTCCATTCCAGATGATTCCATTCCGTTCTATACCATTGCTCTCTGTTCCATTCCATTCCATCTGTCTCCATTCCTTTCGTTTCGATTCCTTTCCATTCCATTCCATTACATTTGATCCTATTTTATTAAATTGCATTCTATTCGAGTGATTTCCATTCGAGTCCTTTCCATTCGATTCCATTCCATTCTATTCCATTCCTTTGGATTCCATTCCATTCCGTTCCGTTCACATCAATTCCTGGCGATTCCATTACATTCGATTTCTTGCCATTCGATTCCATTCCTTTTGACTCCATTTCATTCGATTCCATTCCATTCCATTAATTTCCATTCCATTCGAGACCTTTCCATTGCAGTCTTTTCCCTTCGAGTCCATTCCGTTCGATTCCCTTCCATTCGATTCCATTCCATTGGAGTCCGTACCAGTCGAGTCCATTCTATTCCAGTCCATTAGTTTCGACTCCATTGCATTCGAGTGCATTCCATTCCGTGGCTGTCCATTCCATTCCGTTTGATGCCATTCCATACGATTCCATTCAATTCGAGACCATTCTATTCCTGTCCATTCCTTGTGGTTCGATTCCATTTCACTCTAGTCCATTCCATTCCATTCAATTCCATTCGACTCTATTCCGTTCCATTCAATTCCATTCCATTCGATTCCATTTTTTTCGAGAACCTTCCATTACACTCCCTTCCATTCCAGTGCATTCCATTCCAGTCTCTTCACTTCGATTCCATTCCATTCGTTTCGATTCCTTTCCATTCCAGCCCATTCCATTCCATTCCATTCCTTTCCTTTCCGTTTCATTAGATTCCATTGCATTCCATTCCATTCAATTCAATTCCGTGCTATTCAATTTGATTCATTTCCATTTAATTCCATTCCATTAGATTCCATTCCGTACGATTCCATTCCTTTTGAATCCATTCCATTGGAGTCCATTCACTTCCAGAACATTCCATTCCAGTCGAATCCATTCGAGTACATTCCATTAAAGTTCATTACATTCTAATACATTCCATTCCATTCGATGCCATTCGATTCCATTCCATGCCAAATCATTGCATTCCTTTCCATTCCGTTCCTATCAATTCCATTCCATTCGATTTAGTTCGATTCTATTCACTTCCATTCCATTCGATTCCATTCCATTGGAGTCAATTCCTTTCGACACCCAGCCTTTCCAGTCAATGATTTTGGATTCCATTTTTTTGCATTCCATTACATTCTATGACATTCGATTCCGTTTCATTGCATTCCATTCCATACATTTTTATTCCATTCGAGACCGTAGCATTCCACTTTATTCCAGGCCTGTCCATTACACTACATTCCCTTCCATTCCAATGAATTCCATTCCATTCCAATCCATTCCTTTCCTTTCGCTTGCATTCCATTCTATTCTCTTCTACTGCATACAATTTCACTCCATTCGTTCCCATTCCATTCAATTCCATTCCATTCAATTCCATTCCATTTGTTTCCATTCTCTTCGATTCCATTTCTTTATATTCCATGCCATTCGATTCCATTCTATTGGGTTGCATTACATTCGTGTTCATTCCATTCCAGACCATTCCATTTGACTCCATTCCTTTCGAGCCCTTTCAATTTGAGTCCATTCCTTTCCAGTCCATTTCACTCCAGTCCATTACTATCCATTCCATACCATTCCAACCCATTCCATTCCATTCCATTCCATTCCATTCCATTCCATTCCATTGCATTCCATTCCATTCCATTCCATTGCACTGCACTCCATTCCATTACATTCTACTCTATCTGAGTCGATTTTATTGCATTAGATTCTATTCCATTGGATTACTTTCCATTCGATTACATTCCATTCATGTACATTCCATTCCAGTCAATTACATTCCAGTTCATTACGTTACATTCCAGTATATTCCATTGTATTCGATCCCATTCCTTTCAATTCCATTTCATTCGACTCCATTATATTCAATTACATTCCACTCGAATCCATTCCATTAGCGGACATTCCATTCCAATGCATTCCATTCCATTCCATAGCATTCCATTGCATTCGATTCCATTCCATTTGATGTCATTCCATTTGATGCCATCCCATGACATTCCATTCCATTCGAGTCCATTCCGTTCCAATTCATTCCATTCCGTTTCATGAAATTCGAGTCCTTTCCAGTACATTTCATTCCAATCCCATCCAATCCCATCTACTCCATTCAATTCCTTTCCATTCCATTTGATTTGATTCCATTGATTTGATTCCATTCAGTTTGATTCCATTCCGTGAAATTTCGTTCCATTCTATTCCATTGCATTATTTTCCATTCAATTCCATTCCATTTCATTTCAGTCCATTCGCTTCCTTTCCTTTCGATTCAATTCCATTTGATTCCACTCCATTCTATGCGATTTCATTCCAATCGATTCAATTCCATTCGGTGACATTCCTTTCGTTTCCATTCCATTCGAGTCCATTCAATTTGAGCATTCGTGTCCATTCTATTCGAGTCCATTCCATTACAGTCTATTCTATTCCCTTCCATTCGTGTTGATTCAATTTCATTCCCTTCCATTCGATTCCTTTCCATTCGATTCCATTCCTTTCCATTCCATTCCATTCGTTCCCATTCCATGTGATTTCATTCCATTCCAGTCCATTATATTCGAGTCCACTCCACTCCATTCTATTACATTCAATTCCTTTTGAGTCCGTTCCATAACACTCCATTCATTTCGATTCCATTTCTTGCCAGTTTTCTTCCATTTTATTCCATTCCGTTCGATTCCATTCCATTTGATTGCATTCCATTCGAATCCTTTCCATTCCATTTCATTCCATTCCTTTCTATTCCATTCCATTTCATTCGATTTGATTCCATTCTGTTCTATTCCATTCAATTCTTTTTCATTCCATTCGAATCCTTTCTATTGCAGTCCATTCCATTCGAGTCCATTCCAATCCCTTCCATTCCATTCCATTACAGTCCATTCCAATAGATTCCATTCCTTTGCCTTCCATTCGAATCCATTCCATTCTAGTCCATTCCATTTGAGTCAATTCCATTCCATTCCATTCTATTCCTTTCCAATCCATTTGATTCCATTCGATTCAATTCCATTTGATTCTCTTTCATTCTATTTTATTCCATGCCATTTGATTGCATTGCATTCCATTCCGTTTGATTCCAGTCCATCCAAGAAAGTTCCATTCCAGTCCATTGCTTTCCAGTCCATTCCATTCCACTCTAGTCTATTCCACTCCATTCCCTTCCATTGCATTCCATACTATTCCATTCCATTCCTTTGCATTCCGTTTCCAATCTAATCGAGTCCATTACATTCCAGTCCAATCCATTCGATTACATTCCTTTTGATTCCCTGCCAGTCGATTGCATTGCATACTACACCATTCCAAAGGAGTTCATTCCATTCTATCTCCACACTTTCCATTCCACTCTGTTTGAGTCCATTCCATTCCAGTCCATTTAATTCAAGGGCATTCCACTCCATTCCATTCCATTCCATTTCATATTATTCCATTCCATTCAATTCCATTCCAGATGATTCCATTCCATTCTATACCATTGCTCTCTGTTCCATTCCATTCCATCTGTCTCCATTCCTTTCGTTTCGATTCCTTTCCATTCCATTCCATTACATTTGATCCTATTTTATTAAATTGCATTCTATTCGAGTGATTTCCATTCGAGTCCTTTCCATTCGATTCCATTCCATTCTATTCCATTCCTTTAGATTCCATTCCATTCCGTTCCGTTCACATCAATTCCTGGCGATTCCATTACATTCGATTTCTTGCCATTCGATTCCATTCCTTTTGACTCCATTTCATTCGATTCCATTCCATTCCATTAATTTCCATTCCATTCGAGACCTTTCCATTGCAGTCTTTTCCCTTCGAGTCCATTCCGTTCGATTCCCTTCCGTTCGATTCCCTTCCATTCGATTCCATTCCATTGGAGTCCGTACCAGTCGAGTCCATTCTATTCCAGTCCATTAGTTTCGACTCCATTGCATTCGAGTGCATTCCATTCCGTGGCTGTCCATTCCATTCCGTTTGATGCCATTCCATACGATTCCATTCAATTCGAGACCATTCTATTCCTGTCCATTCCTTGTGGTTCGATTCCATTTCACTCTAGTCCATTCCATTCCATTCAATTCCATTCGACTCTATTCCGTTCCATTCAATTCCATTCCATTCGATTCCATTTTTTTCGACAACCTTCCATTACACTCCCTTCCATTCCAGTGCATTCCATTCCAGTCTCTTCAGTTCGATTCCATTCCATTCGTTTCGATTCCTTTCCATTCCAGCCCATTCCATTCCATTCCATTCCTTTCCTTTCCGTTTCATTAGATTCCATTGCATTCCATTCCATTCAATTCAATTCCGTGCTATTCAATTTGATTCATTTCCATTTAATTCCATTCCATTAGATTCCATTCCGTACGATTCCATTCCTTTTGAATCCATTCCATTGGAGTCCATTCACTTCCAGAACATTCCATTCCAGTCGAATCCATTCGAGTACATTCCATTAAAGTTCATTACATTCTAATACATTCCATTCCATTGCATTCCATTCCATTCCATTCGATGCCATTCGATTCCATTCCATGCCAAATCATTGCATTCCTTTCCATTCCGTTCCTATCAATTCCATTCCATTCGATTTAGTTCGATTCTATTCACTTCCATTCCATTCGATTCCATTCCATTGGAGTCAATTCCTTTCGACACCCAGCCTTTCCAGTCAATGATTTTGGATTCCATTTTTTTGCATTCCATTACATTCTATGACATTCGATTCCGTTTCATTGCATTCCATTCCATACATTTTTATTCCATTCGAGACCGTAGCATTCCACTTTATTCCAGGCCTGTCCATTACACTACATTCCCTTCCATTCCAATGAATTCCATTCCATTCCAATCCATTCCTTTCCTTTCGCTTGCATTCCATTCTATTCTCTTCTACTGCATACAATTTCACTCCATTCGTTCCCATTCCATTCAATTCCATTCCATTCAATTCCATTCCATTTGTTTCCATTCTCTTCGATTCCATTTCTTTATATTCCATGCCATTCGATTCCATTCTATTGGGTTGCATTACATTCGTGTTCATTCCATTCCAGACCATTCCATTTGACTCCATTCCTTTCGAGCCCTTTCAATTTGAGTCCATTCCTTTCCAGTCCATTTCACTCCAGTCCATTACTATCCATTCCATACCATTCCATCCCATTCCATTCCATTCCATTCCATTCCATTCCATTCCATTCCATTCCATTGCATTCCATTCCATTGCACTGCACTCCATTCCATTACATTCTACTCTATCTGAGTCGATTTTATTGCATTAGATTCTATTCCATTGGATTACTTTCCATTCGATTACATTCCATTCATGTACATTCCATTCCAGTCAATTACATTCGAGTTCATTACGTTACATTCCAGTATATTCCATTGTATTCGATCCCATTCCTTTCAATTCCATTTCATTCGACTCCATTATATTCAATTCCATTCCACTCGAATCCATTCCATTAGCGGACATTCCATTCCAATGCATTCCATTCCATTCCATAGCATTCCATTGCATTCGATTCCATTCCATTTGATGTCATTCCATTTGATGCCATCCCATGACATTCCATTCCATTCGAGTCCATTCCGTTCCAATTCATTCCATTCCGTTTCATGAAATTCGAGTCCTTTCCAGTACATTTCATTCCAATCCCATCCAATCCCATCTACTCCATTCAATTCCTTTCCATTCCATTTGATTTGATTCCATTGATTTGATTCCATTCAGTTTGATTCCATTCCGTGAAATTTCGTTCCATTCTATTCCATTGCATTACTTTCCATTCAATTCCATTCCATTTCATTTCAGTCCATTCGCTTCCTTTCCTTTCGATTCAATTCCATTTGATAACACTCCATTCTATGCGATTTCATTCCAATCGATTCAATTCCATTCGATAACATTCCTTTCGTTTCCATTCAATTCGAGTCCATTTAATTTGAGCATTCGTGTCCATTCTATCCGAGTCCATTCCATTACCGTCTATTCTATTCCCTTCCATTCCTGTTGATTCAATTTCATTCCCTTCCATTCGATTCCTTTCCATTGGATTCCATTCCTTTCCATTCCATTCCATTCGTTCCCATTCCATGTGATTTCATTCCATTCCAGTCCATTATATTCGAGTCCACTCCACTCAATTCTATTACATTCAATTCCTTTTGAGTCCGTTCCATAACACTCCATTCATTTCGATTCCATTTCTTGCCAGTTTTCTTCCATTTTATTCCATTCCGTTCGATTCCATTCCATTCGATTGCATTCCATTCGAATCCTTTCCATTCCATTTCATTCCATTCCTTTCTATTCCATTCCATTTCATTCGATTTGATTCCATTCTGTTCTATTCCATTCAATTCTTTTTCATTCCATTCGAATCCTTTCTATTGCAGTCCATTCCATTCGAGTCCATTCCAATCCCTTCCATTCCATTCCATTACAGTCCATTCCAATAGATTCCATTCCTTTGCCTTCCATTCGAATCCATTCCATTCTAGTCCATTCCATTTGAGTCAATTCCATTCCATTCCATTCTATTCCTTTCCAATCCATTCGATTCCATTCGATTCAATTCCATTTGATTCTCTTTCATTCTATTTTATTCCATGCCATTTGATTGCATTGCATTCCATTCCGTTTGATTCCAATCCATCCAAGAAAGTTCCATTCCAGTCCATTGCTTTCCAGTCCATTCCATTCCACTCTAGTCTATTCCACTCCATTCCCTTCCATTGCATTCCATACTATTCCATTCCATTCCTTTGCATTCCGTTTCCAATCTCTTCGAGTCCATTGCATTCCAGTCCAATCCATTCGATTACATTCCTTTTGATTCCCTGCCAGTCGATTGCATTGCATACTACACCATTCCAAAGGAGTTCATTCCATTCTATCTCCACACTTTCCATTCCACTCTGTTTGAGTCCATTCCATTCCAGTCCATTTAATTCAAGGGCATTCCATTCCATTCCATTCCATTCCATTTCATATTATTCCATTCCATTCAATTCCATTCCAGATGATTCCATTCCATTCTATACCATTGCTCTCTGTTCCATTCCATTCCATCTGTCTCCATTCCTTTCGTTTCGATTCCTTTCCATTCCATTCCATTACATTTGATCCTATTTTATTAAATTGCATTCTATTCGAGTGATTTCCATTCGAGTCCTTTCCATTCGATTCCATTCCATTCTATTCCATTCCTTTGGATTCCATTCCATTCCGTTCCGTTCACATCAATTCCTGGCGATTCCATTACATTCGATTTCTTGCCATTCGATTCCATTCCTTTTGACTCCATTTCATTCGATTCCATTCCATTCCATTAATTTCCATTCCATTCGAGACCTTTCCATTGCAGTCTTTTCCCTTCGAGTCCATTCCGTTCGATTCCATTCCGTTCGATTCCCTTCCATTCGATTCCATTCCATTGGAGTCCGTACCAGTCGAGTCCATTCTATTCCAGTCCATTAGTTTCGACTCCATTGCATTCGAGTGCATTCCATTCCGTGGCTGTCCATTCCATTCCGTTTGATGCCATTCCATACGATTCCATTCAATTCGAGACCATTCTATTCCTGTCCATTCCTTGTGGTTCGATTCCATTTCACTCTAGTCCATTCCATTCCATTCAATTCCATTCGACTCTATTCCGTTCCATTCAATTCCATTCCATTCGATTCCATTTTTTTCGAGAACCTTCCATTACACTCCCTTCCATTCCAGTGCATTCCATTCCAGTCTCTTCACTTCGATTCCATTCCATTCGTTTCGATTCCTTTCCATTCCAGCCCATTCCATTCCATTCCATTCCTTTCCTTTCCGTTTCATTAGATTCCATTGCATTCCATTCCATTCAATTCAATTCCGTGCTATTCAATTTGATTCATTTCCATTTAATTCCATTCCATTAGATTCCATTCCGTACGATTCCATTCCTTTTGAATCCATTCCATTGGAGTCCATTCACTTCCAGAACATTCCATTCCAGTCGAATCCATTCGAGTACATTCCATTAAAGTTCATTACATTCTAATACATTCCATTCCATTGCATTCCATTCCATTCCATTCGATGCCATTCGATTCCATTCCATGCCAAATCATTGCATTCCTTTCCATTCCGTTCCTATCAATTCCATTCCATTCGATTTAGTTCGATTCTATTCACTTCCATTCCATTCGATTCCATTCCATTGGAGTCAATTCCTTTCGACACCCAGCCTTTCCAGTCAATGATTTTGGATTCATTTTTTTGCATCCATTACATTCTATGACATTCGATTCCGTTTCATTGCATTCCATTCCATACATTTTTATTCCATTCGAGACCGTAGCATTCCACTTTATTCCAGGCCTGTCCATTACACTACATTCCCTTCCATTCCAATGAATTCCATTCCATTCCAATCCATTCCTTTCCTTTCGCTTGCATTCCATTCTATTCTCTTCTACTGCATACAATTTCACTCCATTCGTTCCCATTCCATTCAATTCCATTCCATTCAATTCCATTCCATTTGTTTCCATTCTCTTCGATTCCATTTCTTTATATTCCATGCCATTCGATTCCATTCTATTGGGTTGCATTACATTCGTGTTCATTCCATTCCAGACCATTCCATTTGACTCCATTCCTTTCGAGCGCTTTCAATTTGAGTCCATTCCTTTCCAGTCCATTTCACTCCAGTGCATTACTATCCATTCCATACCATTCCATCCCATTCCATTCCATTCCATTCCATTCCATTCCATTCCATTCCATTCCATTGCATTCCATTCCATTCCATTCCATTGCACTGCACTCCATTCCATTACATTCTACTCTATCTGAGTCGATTTTATTGCATTAGATTCTATTCCATTGGATTACTTTCCATTCGATTACATTCCATTCATGTACATTCCATTCCAGTCAATTACATTCCAGTTCATTACGTTACATTCCAGTATATTCCATTGTATTCGATCCCATTCCTTTCAATTCCATTTCATTCGACTCCATTATATTCGATTCCATTCCACTCGAATCCATTCCATTAGCGGACATTCCATTCCAATGCATTCCATTCCATTCCATAGCATTCCATTGCATTCGATTCCATTCCATTTGATGTCATTCCATTTGATGCCATCCCATGACATTCCATTCCATTTGAGTCCATTCCGTTCCAATTCATTCCATTCCGTTTCATGAAATTCGAGTCCTTTCCAGTACATTTCATTCCAATCCCATCCAATCCCATCTACTCCATTCAATTCCTTTCCATTCCATTTGATTTGATTCCATTGATTTGATTCCATTCAGTTTCATTCCATTCCGTGAAATTTCGTTCCATTCTATTCCATTGCATTACTTTCCATTCAATTCCATTCCATTTCATTTCAGTCCATTCGCTTCCTTTCCTTTCGATTCAATTCCATTTGATTCCACTCCATTCTATGCGATTTCATTCCAATCGATTCAATTCCATTCGGTGACATTCCTTTCGTTTCCATTCCATTCGAGTCCATTTAATTTGAGCATTCGTGTCCATTCTATTCGAGTCCATTCCATTACAGTCTATTCTATTCCCTTCCATTCGTGTTGATTCAATTTCATTCCCTTCCATTCGATTCCTTTCCATTCGATTCCATTCCTTTCCATTCCATTCCATTCGTTCCCATTCCATGTGATTTCATTCCATTCCAGTCCATTATATTCGAGTCCACTCCACTCCATTCTATTACATTCAATTCCTTTTGAGTCCGTTCCATAACACTCCATTCATTTCGATTCCATTTCTTGCCAGTTTTCTTCCATTTTATTCCATTCCGTTCGATTCCATTCCATTCGATTGCATTCCATTCGAATCCTTTCCATTCCATTTCATTCCATTCCTTTCTATTCCATTCCATTTCATTCGATTTGATTCCATTCTGTTCTATTCCATTCAATTCTTTTTCATTCCATTCGAATCCTTTCTATTGCAGTCCATTCCATTCGAGTCCATTCCAATCCCTTCCATTCCATTCCATTACAGTCCATTCCAATAGATTCCATTCCTTTGCCTTCCATTCGAATCGATTCCATTCTAGTACATTCCATTTGAGTCCATTCCATTCCATTCCATTCTATTCCTTTCCAATCCATTCGATTCCATTCGATTCAATTCCATTTGATTCTCTTTCATTCTATTTTATTCCATGCCATTTGATTGCATTGCATTCCATTCCGTTTGATTCCAGTCCATCCAAGAAAGTTCCATTCCAGTCCATTGCTTTCCAGTCCATTCCATTCCACTCTAGTCTATTCCACTCCATTCCCTTCCATTGCATTCCATACTATTCCATTCCATTCCTTTGCATTCCGTTTCCAATCTATTCGAGTCCTTTGCATTCCAGTCCAATCCATTCGATTACATTCCTTTTGATTCCCTGCCAGTCGATTGCATTGCATACTACACCATTCCAAAGGAGTTCATTCCATTCTATCTCCACACTTTCCATTCCACTCTGTTTGAGTCCATTCCATTCCAGTCCATTTAATTCAAGGGCATTCCATTCCATTCCATTCCATTCCATTTCATATTATTCCATTCCATTCAATTCCATTCCAGATGATTCCATTCCATTCTATACCATTGCTCTCTGTTCCATTCCATTCCATCTGTCTCCATTCCTTTCGTTTCGATTCCTTTCCATTCCATTCCATTACATTTGATCCTATTTTATTAAATTGCATTCTATTCGAGTGATTTCCATTCGAGTCCTTTCCATTCGATTCCATTCCATTCTATTCCATTCCTTTGGATTCCATTCCATTCCGTTCCGTTCACATCAATTCCTGGCGATTCCATTACATTCGATTTCTTGCCATTCGATTCCATTCCTTTTGACTCCATTTCATTCGATTCCATTCCATTCCATTAATTTCCATTCCATTCGAGACCTTTCCATTGCAGTCTTTTCCCTTCGAGTCCATTCCGTTCGATTCCCTTCCGTTCGATTCCCTTCCATTCGATTCCATTCCATTGGAGTCCGTACCAGTCGAGTCCATTCTATTCCAGTCCATTTGTTTCGACTCCATTGCATTCGAGTGCATTCCATTCCGTGGCTGTCCATTCCATTCCGTTTGATGCCATTCCATACGATTCCATTCAATTCGAGACCATTCTATTCCTGTCCATTCCTTGTGGTTCGATTCCATTTCACTCTAGTCCATTCCATTCCATTCAATTCCATTCGACTCTATTCCGTTCCATTCAATTCCATTCCATTCGATTCCATTTTTTTCGAGAACCTTCCATTACACTCCCTTCCATTCCAGTGCATTCCATTCCAGTCTCTTCACTTCGATTCCATTCCATTCGTTTCGATTCCTTTCCATTCCAGCCCATTCCATTCCATTCCATTCCTTTCCTTTCCGTTTCATTAGATTCCATTGCATTCCATTCCATTCAATTCAATTCCGTGCTATTCAATTTGATTCATTTCCATTTAATTCCATTCCATTAGATTCCATTCCGTACGATTCCATTCCTTTTGAATCCATTCCATTGGAGTCCATTCACTTCCAGAACATTCCATTCCAGTCGAATCCATTCGAGTACATTCCATTAAAGTTCATTACATTCTAATACATTCCATTCCATTGCATTCCATTCCATTCCATTCGATGCCATTCGATTCCATTCCATGCCAAATCATTGCATTCCTTTCCATTCCGTTCCTATCAATTCCATTCCATTCGATTTAGTTCGATTCTATTCACTTCCATTCCATTCGATTCCATTCCATTGGAGTCAATTCCTTTCGACACCCAGCCTTTCCAGTCAATGATTTTGGATTCCATTTTTTTGCATTCCATTACATTCTATGACATTCGATTCCGTTTCATTGCATTCCATTCCATACATTTTTATTCCATTCGAGACCGTAGCATTCCACTTTATTCCAGGCCTGTCCATTACACTACATTCCCTTCCATTCCAATGAATTCCATTCCATTCCAATCCATTCCTTTCCTTTCGCTTGCATTCCATTCTATTCTCTTCTACTGCATACAATTTCACTCCATTCGTTCCCATTCCATTCAATTCCATTCCATTCAATTCCATTCCATTTGTTTCCATTCTCTTCGATTCCATTTCTTTATATTCCATGCCATTCGATTCCATTCTATTGGGTTGCATTACATTCGTGTTCATTCCATTCCAGACCATTCCATTTGACTCCATTCCTTTCGAGCCCTTTCAATTTGAGTCCATTCCTTTCCAGTCCATTTCACTCCAGTCCATTACTATCCATTCCATACCATTCCATCCCATTCCATTCCATTCCATTCCATTCCATTCCATTCCATTCCATTCCATTCCATTCCATTGCATTCCATTCCATTCCATTCCATTGCACTGCACTCCATTCCATTACATTCTACTCTATCTGAGTCGATTTTATTGCATTAGATTCTATTCCATTGGATTACTTTCCATTCGATTACATTCCATTCATGTACATTCCATTCCAGTCAATTACATTCGAGTTCATTACGTTACATTCCAGTATATTCCATTGTATTCGATCCCATTCCTTTCAATTCCATTTCATTCGACTCCATTATATTCAATTCCATTCCACTCGAATCCACTCCATTAGAGGACATTCCATTCCAATGCATTCCATTCCATTCCATAGCATTCCATTGCATTCGATTCCATTCCATTTGATGCCATTCCATTTGATGCCATCCCATGACATTCCATTCCATTCGAGTCCATTCCGTTCCAATTCATTCCATTCCGTTTCATGAAATTCGAGTCCTTTCCAGTACATTTCATTCCAATCCCATCCAATCCCATCTACTCCATTCAATTCCTTTCCATTCCATTTGATTTGATTCCATTGATTTGATTCCATTCAGTTTGATTCCATTCCGTGAAATTTCGTTCCATTCTATTCCATTGCATTACTTTCCATTCAATTCCATTCCATTTCATTTCAGTCCATTCGCTTCCTTTCCTTTCGATTCAATTCCATTTGATTCCACTCCATTCTATGCGATTTCATTCCAATCGATTGAATTCCATTCGATGACATTCCTTTCGTTTCCATTCCATTCGAGTCCATTTAATTTGAGCATTCGTGTCCATTCTATTCGAGTCCATTCCATTACAGTCTATTCTATTCCCTTCCATTCCTGTTGATTCAATTTCATTCCCTTCCATTCGATTCCTTTCCATTCGATTCCATTCCTTTCCATTCCATTCCATTCGTTCCCATTCCATGTGATTTCATTCCATTCCAGTCCATTATATTCGAGTCCACTCCACTCCATTCTATTACATTCAATTCCTTTTGAGTCCGTTCCATAACACTCCATTCATTTCGATTCCATTTCTTGCCAGTTTTCTTCCATTTTATTCCATTCCGTTCGATTCCATTCCATTCGATTGCATTACATTCGAATCCTTTCCATTCCATTTCATTCCATTCCTTTCTATTCCATTCCATTTCATTCGATTTGATTCCATTCTGTTCTATTCCATTCAATTCTTTTTCATTCCATTCGAATCCTTTCTATTGCAGTCCATTCCATTCGAGTCCATTCCAATCCCTTCCATTCCATTCCATTACAGTCCATTCCAATAGATTCCATTCCTTTGCCTTCCATTCGAATCCATTCCATTCTAGTCCATTCCATTTGAGTCAAT
Source organism: Homo sapiens (assembly GCF_000001405.40). Lineage (NCBI taxonomy): Eukaryota > Metazoa > Chordata > Mammalia > Primates > Hominidae > Homo > Homo sapiens. The sequence goes on along the minus strand of NC_000024.10, from coordinate 56,723,462 downwards.
TCCATTCCATTCCATTCTATTCCTTTCCAATCCATTCGATTCCATTCGATTCAATTCCATTTGATTCTCTTTCATTCTATTTTATTCCATGCCATTTGATTGCACTGCATTCCATTCCGTTTGATTCCAGTCCATCCAAGAAAGTTCCATTCCAGTCCATTGCTTTCCAGTCCATTCCATTCCACTCTAGTCTATTCCACTGCATTCCCTTCCATTGCATTCCATACTATTCCATTCCATTCCTTTGCATTCCGTTTCCAATCTATTCGAGTCCTTTGCATTCCAGTCCAATCCATTCGATTACATACCTTTTGACTCCCTGCCAGTCGATTGCATTGCATACTACACCATTCCAAAGGAGTTCATTCCATTCTATCTCCACACTTTCCATTCCACTCTGTTTGAGTCCATTCCATTCCAGTCCATTTAATTCAAGGGCATTCCATTCCATTCCATTCCATTCCATTTCATATTATTCCATTCCATTCAATTCCATTCCAGATGATTCCATTCCATTCTATACCATTGCTCTCTGTTCCATTCCATTCCATCTGTCTCCATTCCTTTCGTTTCGATTCCTTTCCATTCCATTCCATTACATTTGATCCTATTTTATTAAATTGCATTCTATTCGAGTGATTTCCATTCGAGTCCTTTCCATTCGATTCCATTCCATTCTATTCCATTCCTTTGGATTCCATTCCATTCCGTTCCGTTCACATCAATTCCTGGCGATTCCATTACATTCGATTTCTTGCCATTCGATTCCATTCCTTTTGACTCCATTTCATTCGATTCCATTCCATTCCATTAATTTCCATTCCATTCGAGACCTTTCCATTGCAGTCTTTTCCCTTCGAGTCCATTCCGTTCGATTCCATTCCGTTCGATTCCCTTCCATTCGATTCCATTCCATTGGAGTCCGTACCAGTCGAGTCCATTCTATTCCAGTCCATTAGTTTCGACTCCATTGCATTCGAGTGCATTCCATTCCGTGGCTGTCCATTCCATTCCGTTTGATGCCATTACATACGATTCCATTCAATTCGAGACCATTCTATTCCTGTCCATTCCTTGTGGTTCGATTCCATTTCACTCTAGTCCATTCCATTCCATTCAATTCCATTCGACTCTATTCCGTTCCATTCAATTCCATTCCATTCGATTCCATTTTTTTCGAGAACCTTCCATTACACTCCCTTCCATTCCAGTGCATTCCATTCCAGTCTCTTCACTTCGATTCCATTCCATTCGTTTCGATTCCTTTCCATTCCAGCCCATTCCATTCCATTCCATTCCTTTCCTTTCCGTTTCATTAGATTCCATTGCATTCCATTCCATTCAATTCAATTCCGTGCTATTCAATTTGATTCATTTCCATTTAATTCCATTCCATTAGATTCCATTCCGTACGATTCCATTCCTTTTGAATCCATTCCATTGGAGTCCATTCACTTCCAGAACATTCCATTCCAGTCGAATCCATTCGAGTACATTCCATTAAAGTTCATTACATTCTAATACATTCCATTCCATTGCATTCCATTCCATTCCATTCGATGCCATTCGATTCCATTCCATGCCAAATCATTGCATTCCTTTCCATTCCGTTCCTATCAATTCCATTCCATTCGATTTAGTTCGATTCTATTCACTTCCATTCCATTCGATTCCATTCCATTGGAGTCATTTCTTTTCGACACCCAGCCTTTCCAGTCAATGATTTTGGATTCCATTTTTTGCATTCCATTACATTCTATGACATTCGATTCCGTTTCATTGCATTCCATTCCATACATTTTTATTCCATTCGAGACCGTAGCATTCCACTTTATTCCAGGCCTGTCCATTACACTACATTCCCTTCCATTCCAATGAATTCCATTCCATTCCAATCCATTCCTTTCCTTTCGCTTGCATTCCATTCTATTCTCTTCTACTGCATACAATTTCACTCCATTCGTTCCCATTCCATTCAATTCCATTCCATTCAATTCCATTCCATTTGTTTCCATTCTCTTCGATTCCATTTCTTTATATTCCATGCCATTCGATTCCATTCTATTGGGTTGCATTACATTCGTGTTCATTCCATTCCAGACCATTCCATTTGACTCCATTCCTTTCGAGCCCTTTCAATTTGAGTCCATTCCTTTCCAGTCCATTTCACTCCAGTCCATTACTATCCATTCCATACCATTCCATCCCATTCCATTCCATTCCATTCCATTCCATTCCATTCCATTCCATTCCATTCCATTGCATTCCATTCCATTCCATTCCATTGCACTGCACTCCATTCCATTACATTCTACTCTATCTGAGTCGATTTTATTGCATTAGATTCTATTCCATTGGATTACTTTCCATTCGATTACATTCCATTCATGTACATTCCATTCCAGTCAATTACATTCGAGTTCATTACGTTACATTCCAGTGTATTCCATTGTATTCGATCCCATTCCTTTCAATTCCATTTCATTCGACTCCATTATATTCAATTCCATTCCACTCGAATCCATTCCATTAGAGGACATTCCATTCCAATGCATTCCATTCCATTCCATAGCATTCCATTGCATTCGATTCCATTCCATTTGATGTCATTCCATTTGATGCCATCCCATGACATTCCATTCCATTCGAGTCCATTCCGTTCCAATTCATTCCATTCCGTTTCATGAAATTCGAGTCCTTTCCAGTACATTTCATTCCAATCCCATCCAATCCCATCTACTCCATTCAATTCCTTTCCATTCCATTTGATTTGATTCCATTGATTTGATTCCATTCAGTTTGATTCCATTCCGTGAAATTTCGTTCCATTCTATTCCATTGCATTACTTTCCATTCAATTCCATTCCATTTCATTTCAGTCCATTCGCTTCCTTTCCTTTCGATTCAATTCCATTTGATTCCACTCCATTCTATGCGATTTCATTCCAATCGATTCAATTCCATTCGATGACATTCCTTTCGTTTCCATTCCATTCGAGTCCATTTAATTTGAGCATTCGTGTCCATTCTATTCGAGTCCATTCCATTACAGTCTATTCTATTCCTTCCATTCGTGTTGATTCAATTTCATTCCCTTCCATCGATTCCTTTCCATGATCCATTCCTTTCCATCCATTCCATTGTCCCATTCCATGTATTTCATCCATTCCAGTCCATTAATTCGAGCCACCCATCCATTCTATTACATTCAATTCCTTTTGAGTCCGTTCCATAACACTCCATTCATTTCGATTCCATTTCTTGCCAGTTTTCTTCCATTTTATTCCATTCCGTTCGATTCCATTCCATTCGATTGCATTCCATTCGAATCCTTTCCATTCCATTTCATTCCATTCCTTTCTATTCCATTCCATTTCATTCGATTTCATTCCATTCTGTTCTATTCCATTCAATTCTTTTTCATTCCATTCGAATCCTTTCTATTGCAGTCCATTCCATTCGAGTCCATTCCAATCCCTTCCATTCCATTCCATTACAGTCCATTCCAATAGATTCCATTCCTTTGCCTTCCATTCGAATCCATTCCATTCTAGTCCATTCCATTTGAGTCAATTCCATTCCATTCCATTCTATTCCTTTCCAATCCATTCGATTCCATTCGATTCAATTCCATTTGATTCTCTTTCATTCTATTTTATTCCATGCCATTTGATTGCACTGCATTCCATTCCGTTTGATTCCAGTCCATCCAAGAAAGTTCCATTCCAGTCCATTGCTTTCCAGTCCATTCCATTCCACTCTAGTCTATTCCACTCCATTCCCTTCCATTGCATTCCATACTATTCCATTCCATTCCTTTGCATTCCGTTTCCAATCTATTCGAGTCCATTGCATTCCAGTCCAATCCATTCGATTACATTCCTTTTGATTCCCTGCCAGTCGATTGCATTGCATACTACACCATTCCAAAGGAGTTCATTCCATTCTATCTCCACACTTTCCATTCCACTCTGTTTGAGTCCATTCCATTCCAGTCCATTTAATTCAAGGGCATTCCATTCCATTCCATTCCATTCCATTTCATATTATTCCATTCCATTCAATTCCATTCCAGATGATTCCATTCCATTCTATACCATTGCTCTCTGTTCCATTCCATTCCATCTGTCTCCATTCCTTTCGTTTCGATTCCTTTCCATTCCATTCCATTACATTTGATCCTATTTTATTAAATTGCATTCTATTCGAGTGATTTCCATTCGAGTCCTTTCCATTCGATTCCATTCCATTCTATTCCATTCCTTTGGATTCCATTCCATTCCGTTCCGTTCACATCAATTCCTGGCGATTCCATTACATTCGATTTCTTGCCATTCGATTCCATTCCTTTTGACTCCATTTCATTCGATTCCATTCCATTCCATTAATTTCCATTCCATTCGAGACCTTTCCATTGCAGTCTTTTCCCTTCGAGTCCATTCCGTTCGATTCCCTTCCGTTCGATTCCCGTCCATTCGATTCCATTCCATTGGAGTCCGTACCAGTCGAGTCCATTCTATTCCAGTCCATTAGTTTCGACTCCATTGCATTCGAGTGCATTCCATTCCGTGGCTGTCCATTCCATTCCGTTTGATGCCATTCCATACGATTCCATTCAATTCGAGACCATTCTATTCCTGTCCATTCCTTGTGGTTCGATTCCATTTCACTCTAGTCCATTCCATTCCATTCAATTCCATTCGACTCTATTCCGTTCCATTCAATTCCATTCCATTCGATTCCATTTTTTTCGACAACCTTCCATTACACTCCCTTCCATTCCAGTGCATTCCATTCCAGTCTCTTCAGTTCGATTCCATTCCATTCGTTTCGATTCCTTTCCATTCCAGCCCATTCCATTCCATTCCATTCCTTTCCTTTCCGTTTCATTAGATTCCATTGCATTCCATTCCATTCAATTCAATTCCGTGCTATTCAATTTGATTCATTTCCATTTAATTCCATTCCATTAGATTCCATTCCGTACGATTCCATTCCTTTTGAATCCATTCCATTGGAGTCCATTCACTTCCAGAACATTCCATTCCAGTCGAATCCATTCGAGTACATTCCATTAAAGTTCATTACATTCTAATACATTCCATTCCATTGCATTCCATTCCATTCCATTCGATGCCATTCGATTCCATTCCATGCCAAATCATTGCATTCCTTTCCATTCCGTTCCTATCAATTCCATTCCATTCGATTTAGTTTGATTCTATTCACTTCCATTCCATTCGATTCCATTCCATTGGAGTCAATTCCTTTCGACACCCAGCCTTTCCAGTCAATGATTTTGGATTCCATTTTTTTGCATTCCATTACATTCTATGACATTCGATTCCGTTTCATTGCATTCCATTCCATACATTTTTATTCCATTCGAGACCGTAGCATTCCACTTTATTCCAGGCCTGTCCATTACACTACATTCCCTTCCATTCCAATGAATTCCATTCCATTCCAATCCATTCCTTTCCTTTCGCTTGCATTCCATTCTATTCTCTTCTACTGCATACAATTTCACTCCATTCGTTCCCATTCCATTCAATTCCATTCCATTCAATTCCATTCCCTTTGTTTCCATTCTCTTCGATTCCATTTCTTTATATTCCATGCCATTCGATTCCATTCTATTGGGTTGCATTACATTCGTGTTCATTCCATTCCAGACCATTCCATTTGACTCCATTCCTTTCGAGCCCTTTCAATTTGAGTCCATTCCTTTCCAGTCCATTTCACTCCAGTCTATTACTATCCATTCCATACCATTCCATCCCATTCCATTCCATTCCATTCCATTGCATTCCATTCCATTCCATTCCATTGCACTGCACTCCATTCCATTACATTCTACTCTATCTGAGTCGATTTTATTGCATTAGATTCTATTCCATTGGATTACTTTCCATTCGATTACATTCCATTCATGTACATTCCATTCCAGTCAATTACATTCGAGTTCATTACGTTACATTCCAGTATATTCCATTGTATTCGATCCCATTCCTTTCAATTCCATTTCATTCGACTCCATTATATTCAATTCCATTCCACTCGAATCCATTCCATTAGAGGACATTCCATTCCAATGCATTCCATTCCATTCCATAGCATTCCATTGCATTCGATTCCATTCCATTTGATGCCATTCCATTTGATGCCATCCCATGACATTCCATTCCATTCGAGTCCATTCCGTTCCAATTCATTCCATTCCGTTTCATGAAATTCGAGTCCTTTCCAGTACATTTCATTCCAATCCCATCCAATCCCATCTACTCCATTCAATTCCTTTCCATTCCATTTGATTTGATTCCATTGATTTGATTCCATTCAGTTTGATTCCATTCCGTGAAATTTCGTTCCATTCTATTCCATTGCATTACTTTCCATTCAATTCCATTCCATTTCATTTCAGTCCATTCGCTTCCTTTCCTTTCGATTCAATTCCATTTGATTCCACTCCATTCTATGCGATTTCATTCCAATCGATTCAATTCCATTCGATGACATTCCTTTCGTTTCCATTCCATTCGAGTCCATTTAATTTGAGCATTCGTGTCCATTCTATTCGAGTCCATTCCATTACAGTCTATTCTATTCCCTTCCATTCGTGTTGATTCAATTTCATTCCCTTCCATTCGATTCCTTTCCATTCGATTCCATTCCTTTCCATTCCATTCCATTCGTTCCCATTCCATGTGATTTCATTCCATTCCAGTCCATTATATTCGAGTCCACTCCACTCCATTCTATTACATTCAATTCCTTTTGAGTCCGTTCCATAACACTCCATTCATTTCGATTCCATTTCTTGCCAGTTTTCTTCCATTTTATTCCATTCCGTTCGATTCCATTCCATTCGATTGCATTCCATTCGAATCCTTTCCATTCCATTTCATTCCATTCCTTTCTATTCCATTCCATTTCATTCGATTTGATTCCATTCTGTTCTATTCCATTCAATTCTTTTTCATTCCATTCGAATCCTTTCTATTGCAGTCCATTCCATTCGAGTCCATTCCAATCCCTTCCATTCCATTCCATTACAGTCCATTCCAATAGATTCCATTCCTTTGCCTTCCATTCGAATCCATTCCATTCTAGTCCATTCCATTTGAGTCAATTCCATTCCATTCCATTCTATTCCTTTCCAATCCATTCGATTCCATTCGATTCAATTCCATTTGATTCTCTTTCATTCTATTTTATTCCATGCCATTTGATTGCACTGCATTCCATTCCGTTTGATTCCAGTCCATCCAAGAAAGTTCCATTCCAGTCCATTGCTTTCCAGTCCATTCCATTCCACTCTAGTCTATTCCACTCCATTCCCTTCCATTGCATTCCATACTATTCCATTCCATTACTTTGCATTCCGTTTCCAATCTATTCGAGTCCATTGCATTCCAGTCCAATCCATTCGATTACATTCCTTTTGATTCCCTGCCAGTCGATTGCATTGCATACTACACCATTCCAAAGGAGTTCATTCCATTCTATCTCCACACTTTCCATTCCACTCTGTTTGAGTCCATTCCATTCCAGTCCATTTAATTCAAGGGCATTCCATTCCATTCCATTCCATTCCATTTCATATTATTCCATTCCATTCAATTCCATTCCAGATGATTCCATTCCATTCTATACCATTGCTCTCTGTTCCATTCCATTCCATCTGTCTCCATTCCTTTCGTTTCGATTCCTTTCCATTCCATTCCATTACATTTGATCCTATTTTATTAAATTGCATTCTATTCGAGTGATTTCCATTCGAGTCCTTTCCATTCGATTCCATTCCATTCTATTCCATTCCTTTGGATTCCATTCCATTCCGTTCCGTTCACATCAATTCCTGGCGATTCCATTACATTCGATTTCTTGCCATTCGATTCCATTCCTTTTGACTCCATTTCATTCGATTCCATTCCATTCCATTAATTTCCATTCCATTCGAGACCTTTCCATTGCAGTCTTTTCCCTTCGAGTCCATTCCGTTCGATTCCCTTCCATTCGATTCCATTCCATTGGAGTCCGTACCAGTCGAGTCCATTCTATTCCAGTCCATTAGTTTCGACTCCATTGCATTCGAGTGCATTCCATTCCGTGGCTGTCCATTCCATTCCGTTTGATGCCATTCCATACGATTCCATTCAATTCGAGACCATTCTATTCCTGTCCATTCCTTGTGGTTCGATTCCATTTCACTCTAGTCCATTCCATTCCATTCAATTCCATTCGACTCTATTCCGTTCCATTCAATTCCATTCCATTCGATTCCATTTTTTTCGACAACCTTCCATTACACTCCCTTCCATTCCAGTGCATTCCATTCCAGTCTCTTCAGTTCGATTCCATTCCATTCGTTTCGATTCCTTTCCATTCCAGCCCATTCCATTCCATTCCATTCCTTTCCTTTCCGTTTCATTAGATTCCATTGCATTCCATTCCATTCAATTCAATTCCGTGCTATTCAATTTGATTCATTTCCATTTAATTCCATTCCATTAGATTCCATTCCGTACGATTCCATTCCTTTTGAATCCATTCCATTGGAGTCCATTCACTTCCAGAACATTCCATTCCAGTCGAATCCATTCGAGTACATTCCATTAAAGTTCATTACATTCTAATACATTCCATTCCATTGCATTCCATTCCATTCCATTCGATGCCATTCGATTCCATTCCATGCCAAATCATTGCATTCCTTTCCATTCCGTTCCTATCAATTCCATTCCATTCGATTTAGTTCGATTCTATTCACTTCCATTCCATTCGATTCCATTCCATTGGAGTCAATTCCTTTCGACACCCAGCCTTTCCAGTCAATGATTTTGGATTCCATTTTTTTGCATTCCATTACATTCTATGACATTCGATTCCGTTTCATTGCATTCCATTCCATACATTTTTATTCCATTCGAGACCGTAGCATTCCACTTTATTCCAGGCCTGTCCATTACACTACATTCCCTTCCATTCCAATGAATTCCATTCCATTCCAATCCATTCCTTTCCTTTCGCTTGCATTCCATTCTATTCTCTTCTACTGCATACAATTTCACTCCATTCGTTCCCATTCCATTCAATTCCATTCCATTCAATTCCATTCCATTTGTTTCCATTCTCTTCGAATCCATTTCTTTATAATCCATGCCATTCGATTCCATTCTATTGGGTTGCATTACATTCGTGTTCATTCCATTCCAGACCATTCCATTTGACTCCATTCCTTTCGAGACCTTTCAATTTGAGTCCATTCCTTTCCAGTCCATTTCACTCCAGTCCATTACTATCCATTCCATACCATTCCATCCCATTCCATCTCATTCCATTCCATTCCATTCCATTCCATTCCATTCCATTCCATTGCATTCCATTCCATTCCATTCCATTGCACTGCACTCCATTCCATTACATTCTACTCTATCTGAGTCGATTTTATTGCATTAGATTCTATTCCATTGGATTACTTTCCATTCGATTACATTCCATTCATGTACATTCCATTCCAGTCAATTACATTCGAGTTCATTACGTTACATTCCAGTATATTCCATTGTATTCGATCCCATTCCTTTCAATTCCATTTCATTCGACTCCATTATATTCAATTCCATTCCACTCGAATCCATTCCATTAGCGGACATTCCATTCCAATGCATTCCATTCCATTCCATAGCATTCCATTGCATTCGATTCCATTCCATTTGATGTCATTCCATTTGATGCCATCCCATGACATTCCATTCCATTCGAGTCCATTCCGTTCCAATTCATTCCATTCCGTTTCATGAAATTCGAGTCCTTTCCAGTACATTTCATTCCAATCCCATCCAATCCCATCTACTCCATTCAATTCCTTTCCATTCCATTTGATTTGATTCCATTGATTTGATTCCATTCAGTTTGATTCCATTCCGTGAAATTTCGTTCCATTCTATTCCATTGCATTACTTTCCATTCAATTCCATTCCATTTCATTTCAGTCCATTCGCTTCCTTTCCTTTCGATTCAATTCCATTTGATTCCACTCCATTCTATGCGATTTCATTCCAATCGATTCAATTCCATTCGATGACATTCCTTTCGTTTCCATTCCATTCGAGTCCATTTAATTTGAGCATTCGTGTCCATTCTATTCGAGTCCATTCCATTACAGTCTATTCTATTCCCTTCCATTCGTGTTGATTCAATTTCATTCCCTTCCATTCGATTCCTTTCCATTCGATTCCATTCCTTTCCATTCCATTCCATTCGTTCCCATTCCATGTGATTTCATTCCATTCCAGTCCATTATATTCGAGTCCACTCCACTCCATTCTATTACATTCAATTCCTTTTGAGTCCGTTCCATAACACTCCATTCATTTCGATTCCATTTCTTGCCAGTTTTCTTCCATTTTATTCCATTCCGTTCGATTCCATTCCATTCGATTGCATTCCATTCGAATCCTTTCCATTCCATTTCATTCCATTCCTTTCTATTCCATTCCATTTCATTCGATTTCATTCCATTCTGTTCTATTCCATTCAATTCTTTTTCATTCCATTCGAATCCTTTCTATTGCAGTCCATTCCATTCGAGTCCATTCCAATCCCTTCCATTCCATTCCATTACAGTCCATTCCAATAGATTCCATTCCTTTGCCTTCCATTCGAATCCATTCCATTCTAGTCCATTCCATTTGAGTCAATTCCATTCCATTCCATTCTATTCCTTTCCAATCCATTCGATTCCATTCGATTCAATTCCATTTGATTCTCTTTCATTCTATTTTATTCCATGCCATTTGATTGCACTGCATTCCATTCCGTTTGATTCCAGTCCATCCAAGAAAGTTCCATTCCAGTCCATTGCTTTCCAGTCCATTCCATTCCACTCTAGTCTATTCCACTCCATTCCCTTCCATTGCATTCCATACTATTCCATTCCATTCCTTTGCATTCCGTTTCCAATCTATTCGAGTCCATTGCATTCCAGTCCAATCCATTCGATTACATTCCTTTTGATTCCCTGCCAGTCGATTGCATTGCATACTACACCATTCCAAAGGAGTTCATTCCATTCTATCTCCACACTTTCCATTCCACTCTGTTTGAGTCCATTCCATTCCAGTCCATTTAATTCAAGGGCATTCCATTCCATTCCATTCCATTCCATTTCATATTATTCCATTCCATTCAATTCCATTCCAGATGATTCCATTCCATTCTATACCATTGCTCTCTGTTCCATTCCATTCCATCTGTCTCCATTCCTTTCGTTTCCATTCCTTTCCATTCCATTCCATTCCATTTGATCCTATTTTGTTAAATTGCATTCTATTCGAGTGATTTCCATTCGAGTCCTTTCCATTCGATTCCATTCCATTCTATTCCATTCCTTTGGATTCCATTCCATTCCGTTCCGTTCACATCAATTCCTGGCGATTCCATTACATTCGATTTCTTGCCATTCGATTCCATTCCTTTTGACTCCATTTCATTCGATTCCATTCCATTCCATTAATTTCCATTCCATTCGAGACCTTTCCATTGCAGTCTTTTCCCTTCGAGTCCATTCCGTTCGATTCCATTCCGTTCGATTCCCTTCCATTCGATTCCATTCCATTGGAGTCCGTACCAGTCGAGTCCATTCTATTCCAGTCCATTAGTTTCGACTCCATTGCATTCGAGTGCATTCCATTCCGTGGCTGTCCATTCCATTCCGTTTGATGCCATTCCATACGATTCCATTCAATTCGAGACCATTCTATTCCTGTCCATTCCTTGTGGTTCGATTCCATTTCACTCTAGTCCATTCCATTCCATTCAATTCCATTCGACTCTATTCCGTTCCATTCAATTCCATTCCATTCGATTCCATTTTTTTCGAGAGCCTTCCATTACACTCCCTTCCATTCCAGTGCATTCCATTACAGTCTCTTCACTTCGATTCCATTCCATTCGTTTCGATTCCTATCCATTCCAGCCCATTCCATTCCATTCCATTCCTTTCCTTTCCGTTTCATTAGATTCCATTGCATTCCATTCCATTCAATTCAATTCCGTGCTATTCAATTTGATTCATTTCCATTTAATTCCATTCCATTAGATTCCATTCCGTACGATTCCATTCCTTTTGAATCCATTCCATTGGAGTCCATTCACTTCCAGAACATTCCATTCCAGTCGAATCCATTCGAGTACATTCCATTAAAGTTCATTACATTCTAATACATTCCATTCCATTGCATTCCATTCCATTCCATTCGATGCCATTCGATTCCATTCCATGCCAAATCATTGCATTCCTTTCCATTCCGTTCCTATCAATTCCATTCCATTCGATTTAGTTCGATTCTATTCACTTCCATTCCATTCGATTCCATTCCATTGGAGTCAATTCCTTTCGACACCCAGCCTTTCCAGTCAATGATTTTGGATTCCATTTTTTTGCATTCCATTACATTCTATGACATTCGATTCCGTTTCATTGCATTCCATTCCATACATTTTTATTCCATTCGAGACCGTAGCATTCCACTTTATTCCAGACCTGTCCATTACACTACATTCCCTTCCATTCCAATGAATTCCATTCCATTCCAATCCATTCCTTTCCTTTCGCTTGCATTCCATTCTATTCTCTTCTACTGCATACAATTTCACTCCATTCGTTCCCATTCCATTCAATTCCATTCCATTCAATTCCATTCCATTTGTTTCCATTCTCTTCGATTCCATTTCTTTATATTCCATGCCATTCGATTCCATTCTATTGGGTTGCATTACATTCGTGTTCATTCCATTCCAGACCATTCCATTTGACTCCATTCCTTTCGAGCCCTTTCAATTTGAGTCCATTCCTTTCCAGTCCATTACACTCCAGTCTATTACTATCCATTCCATACCATTCCATCCCATTCCATTCCATTCCATTCCATTCCATTCCATTCCATTCCATTCCATTGCATTCCATTCCATTCCATTCCATTGCACTGCACTCCATTCCATTACATTCTACTCTAACTGAGTCGATTTTATTGCATTAGATTCTATTCCATTGGATTACTTTCCATTCGATTACATTCCATTCATGTACATTCCATTCCAGTCAATTACATTCGAGTTCATTACGTTACATTCCAGTATATTCCATTGTATTCGATCCCATTCCTTTCAATTCCATTTCATTCGACTCCATTATATTCAATTCCATTCCACTCGAATCCATTCCATTAGAGGACATTCCATTCCAATGCATTCCATTCCATTCCATAGCATTCCACTGCATTCGATTCCATTCCATTTGATGCCATTACATTTGATGCCATCCCATGACATTCCATTCCATTCGAGTCCATTCCGTTCCAATTCATTCCATTCCGTTTCATGAAATTCGAGTCCTTTCCAGTACATTTCATTCCAATCCCATCCAATCCCATCTACTCCATTCAATTCCTTTCCATTCCATTTGATTTGATTCCATTGATTTGATTCCATTCAGTTTGATTCCATTCCGTGAAATTTCGTTCCATTCTATTCCATTGCATTACTTTCCATTCAATTCCATTCCATTTCATTTCAGTCCATTCGCTTCCTTTCCTTTCGATTCAATTCCATTTGATTCCACTCCATTCTATGCGATGTCATTCCAATCGATTCAATTCCATTCGATGACATTCCTTTCGTTTCCATTCCATTCGAGTCCATTTAATTTGAGCATTCGTGTCCATTCTATTCGAGTCCATTCCATTACAGTCTATTCTATTCCCTTCCATTCGTGTTGATTCAATTTCATTCCCTTCCATTCGATTCCTTTCCATTCGATTCCATTCCTTTCCATTCCATTCCATTCGTTCCCATTCCATGTGATTTCATTCCATTCCAGTCCATTATATTCGAGTCCACTCCACTCCATTCTATTACATTCAATTCCTTTTGAGTCCGTTCCATAACACTCCATTCATTTCGATTCCATTTCTTGCCAGTTTTCTTCCATTTTATTCCATTCCGTTCGATTCCATTCCATTCGATTGCATTCCATTCGAATCCTTTCCATTCCATTTCATTCCATTCCTTTCTATTCCATTCCATTTCATTCGATTTGATTCCATTCTGTTCTATTCCATTCAATTCTTTTTCATTCCATTCGAATCCTTTCTATTGCAGTCCATTCCATTCCATTACAGTCCATTCCAATCCCTTCCATTCCTTTGCCTTCCATTCGAATCCATTCCATTCTAGTCCATTCCATTTGAGTCAATTCCATTCCATTCCATTCTATTCCTTTCCAATCCATTCGATTCCATTCGATTCAATTCCATTTGATTCTCTTTCATTCTATTTTATTCCATGCCATTTGATTGCACTGCATTCCATTCCGTTTGATTCCAGTCCATCCAAGAAAGTTCCATTCCAGTCCATTGCTTTCCAGTCCATTCCATTCCACTCTAGTCTATTCCACTGCATTCCCTTCCATTGCATTCCATACTATTCCATTCCATTCCTTTGCATTCCGTTTCCAATCTATTCGAGTCCTTTGCATTCCAGTCCAATCCATTCGATTACATACCTTTTGACTCCCTGCCAGTCGATTGCATTGCATACTACACCATTCCAAAGGAGTTCATTCCATTCTATCTCCACACTTTCCATTCCACTCTGTTTGAGTCCATTCCATTCCAGTCCATTTAATTCAAGGGCATTCCATTCCATTCCATTCCATTCCATTTCATATTATTCCATTCCATTCAATTCCATTCCAGATGATTCCATTCCATTCTATACCATTGCTCTCTGTTCCATTCCATTCCATCTGTCTCCATTCCTTTCGTTTCGATTCCTTTCCATTCCATTCCATTACATTTGATCCTATTTTATTAAATTGCATTCTATTCGAGTGATTTCCATTCGAGTCCTTTCCATTCGATTCCATTCCATTCTATTCCATTCCTTTGGATTCCATTCCATTCCGTTCCGTTCACATCAATTCCTGGCGATTCCATTACATTCGATTTCTTGTCATTCGATTCCATTCCTTTTGACTCCATTTCATTCGATTCCATTCCATTCCATTAATTTCCATTCCATTCGAGACCTTTCCATTGCAGTCTTTTCCCTTCGAGTCCATTCCGTTCGATTCCATTCCGTTCGATTCCCTTCCATTCGATTCCATTCCATTGGAGTCCGTACCAGTCGAGTCCATTCTATTCCAGTCCATTAGTTTCGACTCCATTGCATTCGAGTGCATTCCATTCCGTGGCTGTCCATTCCATTCCGTTTGATGCCATTCCATACGATTCCATTCAATTCGAGACCATTCTATTCCTGTCCATTCCTTGTGGTTCGATTCCATTTCACTCTAGTCCATTCCATTCCATTCAATTCCATTCGACTCTATTCCGTTCCATTCAATTCCATTCCATTCGATTCCATTTTTTTCGAGAACCTTCCATTACACTCCCTTCCATTCCAGTGCATTCCATTCCAGTCTCTTCACTTCGATTCCATTCCATTCGTTTCGATTCCTTTCCATTCCAGCCCATTCCATTCCATTCCATTCCTTTCCTTTCCGTTTCATTAGATTCCATTGCATTCGATTCCATTCAATTCAATTCCGTGCTATTCAATTTGATTCATTTCCATTTAATTCCATTCCATTAGATTCCATTCCGTACGATTCCATTCCTTTTGAATCCATTCCATTGGAGTCCATTCACTTCCAGAACATTCCATTCCAGTCGAATCCATTCGAGTACATTCCATTAAAGTTCATTACATTCTAATACATTCCATTCCATTGCATTCCATTCCATTCCATTCGATGCCATTCGATTCCATTCCATGCCAAATCATTGCATTCCTTTCCATTCCGTTCCTATCAATTCCATTCCATTCGATTTAGTTCGATTCTATTCACTTCCATTCCATTCGATTCCATTCCATTGGAGTCAATTCCTTTCGACACCCAGCCTTTCCAGTCAATGATTTTG
Organism: Homo sapiens; assembly: GCF_000001405.40. Classification (NCBI taxonomy): domain Eukaryota; kingdom Metazoa; phylum Chordata; class Mammalia; order Primates; family Hominidae; genus Homo; species Homo sapiens. Next base: position 56,707,473 of record NC_000024.10, on the reverse strand, counting down.
GATTCCATTTTTTTGCATTCCATTACATTCTATGACATTCGATTCCGTTTCATTGCATTCCATTCCATACATTTTTATTCCATTCGAGACCGTAGCATTCCACTTTATTCCAGGCCTGTCCATTACACTACATTCCCTTCCATTCCAATGAATTCCATTCCATTCCAATCCATTCCTTTCCTTTCGCTTGCATTCCATTCTATTCACTTCTACTGCATACAATTTCACTCCATTCGTTCCCATTCCATTCAATTCCATTCCATTTGTTTCCATTCTCTTCGATTCCATTTCTTTATATTCCATGCCATTCGATTCCATTCTATTGGGTTGCATTACATTCGTGTTCATTCCATTCCAGACCATTCCATTTGACTCCATTCCTTTCGTGCCCTTTCAATTTGAGTCCATTCCTTTCCAGTCCATTTCACTCCAGTCCATTACTATCCATTCCATACCATTCCATCCCATTCCATTCCATTCCATTCCATTGCATTCCATTCCATTCCATTCCATTGCACTGCACTCCATTCCATTACATTCTACTCTATCTGAGTCGATTTTATTGCATTAGATTCTATTCCATTGGATTACTTTCCATTCGATTACATTCCATTCATGTACATTCCATTCCAGTCAATTACATTCGAGTTCATTACGTTACATTCCAGTATATTCCATTGTATTCGATCCCATTCCTTTCAATTCCATTTCATTCGACTCCATTATATTCAATTCCATTCCACTCGAATCCATTCCATTAGAGGACATTCCATTCCAATGCATTCCATTCCATTCCATAGCATTCCATTGCATTCGATTCCATTCCATTTGATGCCATTCCGTTTGATGCCATCCCATGACATTCCATTCCATTCGAGTCCATTCCGTTCCAATTCATTCCATTCCGTTTCATGAAATTCGAGTCCTTTCCAGTACATTTCATTCCAATCCCATCCAATCCCATCTACTCCATTCAATTCCTTTCCATTCCATTTGATTTGATTCCATTGATTTGATTCCATTCAGTTTGATTCCATTCCGTGAAATTTCGTTCCATTCTATTCCATTGCATTACTTTCCATTCAATTCCATTCCATTTCATTTCAGTCCATTCGCTTCCTTTCCTTTCGATTCAATTCCATTTGATTCCACTCCATTCTATGCGATTTCATTCCAATCGATTCAATTCCATTCGATGACATTCCTTTCGTTTCCATTCCATTCATGTCCATTTAATTTGAGCATTCGTGTCCATTCTATTCGAGTCCATTCCATTACCGTCTATTCTATTCCCTTCCATTCCTGTTGATTCAATTTCATTCCCTTCCATTCGATTCCTTTCCATTCGATTCCATTCCTTTCCATTCCATTCCATTCGTTCCCATTCCATGTGATTTCATTCCATTCCAGTCCATTATATTCGAGTCCACTCCACTCCATTCTATTACATTCAATTCCTTTTGAGTCCGTTCCATAACACTCCATTCATTTCGATTCCATTTCTTGCCAGTTTTCTTCCATTTTATTCCATTCCATTCGATTGCATTCCATTCGAATCCTTTCCATTCCATTTCATTCCATTCCTTTCTATTCCATTCCATTTCATTCGATTTGATTCCATTCTGTTCTATTCCATTCAATTCTTTTTCATTCCATTCGAATCCTTTCTATTGCAGTCCATTCCATTCGAGTCCATTCCAATCCCTTCCATTCCATTCCATTACAGTCCATTCCAATAGATTCCATTCCTTTGCCTTCCATTCCAATCCATTCCATTCTAGTCCATTCCATTTGAGTCAATTCCATTCCATTCCATTCTATTCCTTTCCAATCCATTCGATTCCATTCGATTCAATTCCATTTGATTCTCTTTCATTCTATTTTATTCCATGCCATTTGATTGCATTGCATTCCATTCCGTTTGGTTCCAGTCCATCCAAGAAAGTTCCATTCCAGTCCATTGCTTTCCAGTCCATTCCATTCCACTCTAGTCTATTCCACTCCATTCCCTTCCATTGCATTCCATACTATTCCATTCCATTCCTTTGCATTCCGTTTCCAATCTATTCGAGTCCATTGCATTCCAGTCCAATCCATTCGATTACATTCCTTTTGATTCCCTGCCAGTCGATTGCATTGCATACTACACCATTCCAAAGGAGTTCATTCCATTCTATCTCCACACTTTCCATTCCACTCTGTTTGAGTCCATTCCATTCCAGTCCATTTAATTCAAGGGCATTCCATTCCATTCCATTCCATTCCATTTCATATTATTCCATTCCATTCAATTCCATTCCAGATGATTCCATTCCATTCTATACCATTGCTCTCTGTTCCATTCCATTCCATCTGTCTCCATTCCTTTCGTTTCGATTCCTTTCCATTCCATTCCATTACATTTGATCCTATTTTATTAAATTGCATTCTATTCGAGTGATTTCCATTCGAGTCCTTTCCATTCGATTCCATTCCATTCTATTCCATTCCTTTGGATTCCATTCCATTCCGTTCCGTTCACATCAATTCCTGGCGATTCCATTACATTCGATTTCTTGCCATTCGATTCCATTCCTTTTGACTCCATTTCATTCGATTCCATTCCATTCCATTAATTTCCATTCCATTCGAGACCTTTCCATTGCAGTCTTTTCCCTTCGAGTCCATTCCGTTCGATTCCATTCCGTTCGATTCCCTTCCATTCGATTCCATTCCATTGGAGTCCGTACCAGTCGAGTCCATTCTATTCCAGTCCATTAGTTTTGACTCCATTGCATTCGAGTGCATTCCATTCCGTGGCTGTCCATTCCATTCCGTTTGATGCCATTCCATACGATTCCATTCAATTCGAGACCATTCTATTCCTGTCCATTCCTTGTGGTTCGATTCCATTTCACTCTAGTCCATTCCATTCCATTCAATTCCATTCGACTCTATTCCGTTCCATTCAATTCCATTCCATTCGATTCCATTTTTTTCGAGAACCTTCCATTACACTCCCTTCCATTCCAGTGCATTCCATTCCAGTCTCTTCACTTCGATTCCATTCCATTCGTTTCGATTCCTTTCCATTCCAGCCCATTCCATTCCATTCCATTCCTTTCCTTTCCGTTTCATTAGATTCCATTGCATTCCATTCCATTCAATTCAATTCCGTGCTATTCAATTTGATTCATTTCCATTTAATTCCATTCCATTAGATTCCATTCCGTACGATTCCATTCCTTTTGAATCCATTCCATTGGAGTCCATTCACTTCCAGAACATTCCATTCCAGTCGAATCCATTCGAGTACATTCCATTAAAGTTCATTCCATTCTAATACATTCCATTCCATTGCATTCCATTCCATTCCATTCGATGCCATTCGATTCCATTCCATGCCAAATCATTGCATTCTTTTCCATTCCGTTCCTATCAATTCCATTCCATTCGATTTAGTTCGATTCTATTCACTTCCATTCCATTCGATTCCATTCCATTGGAGTCAATTCCTTTCGACACCCAGCCTTTCCAGTCAATGATTTTGGATTCCATTTTTTTGCATTCCATTACATTCTATGACATTCGATTCCGTTTCATTGCATTCCATTCCATACATTTTTATTCCATTCGAGACCGTAGCATTCCACTTTATTCCAGGCCTGTCCATTACACTACATTCCCTTCCATTCCAATGAATTCCATTCCATTCCAATCCATTCCTTTCCTTTCGCTTGCATTCCATTCTATTCTCTTCTACTGCATACAATTTCACTCCATTCGTTCCCATTCCATTCAATTCCATTCCATTCAATTCCATTCCATTTGTTTCCATTCTCTTCGATTCCATTTCTTTATATTCCATGCCATTCGATTCCATTCTATTGGGTTGCATTACATTCGTGTTCATTCCATTCCAGACCATTCCATTTGACTCCATTCCTTTCGAGCCCTTTCAATTTGAGTCCATTCCTTTCCAGTCCATTTCACTCCAGTCCATTACTATCCATTCCATACCATTCCATCCCATTCCATTCCATTCCATTCCATTCCATTCCATTCCATTCCATTCCATTGCATTCCATTCCATTCCATTCCATTGCACTGCACTCCATTCCATTACATTCTACTCTATCTGAGTCGATTTTATTGCATTAGATTCTATTCCATTGGATTACTTTCCATTCGATTACATTCCATTCATGTACATTCCATTCCAGTCAATTACATTCGAGTTCATTACGTTACATTCCAGTATATTCCATTGTATTCGATCCCATTCCTTTCAATTCCATTTCATTCGACTCCATTATATTCAATTCCATTCCACTCGAATCCATTCCATTAGCGGACATTCCATTCCAATGCATTCCATTCCATTCCATAGCATTCCATTGCATTCGATTCCATTCCATTTGATGTCATTCCATTTGATGCCATCCCATGACATTCCATTCCATTCGAGTCAATTCCGTTCCAATTCATTCCATTCCGTTTCATGAAATTCGAGTCCTTTCCAGTACATTTCATTCCAATCCCATCCAATCCCATCTACTCCATTCAATTCCTTTCCATTCCATTTGATTTGATTCCATTGATTTGATTCCATTCAGTTTGATTCCATTCCGTGAAATTTCGTTCCATTCTATTCCATTGCATTACTTTCCATTCAATTCCATTCCATTTCATTTCAGTCCATTCGCTTCCTTTCCTTTCGATTCAATTCCATTTGATTCCACTCCATTCTATGCGATTTCATTCCAATCGATTCAATTCCATTCGATGACATTCCTTTCGTTTCCATTCCATTCGAGTCCATTTAATTTGAGCATTCGTGTCCATTCTATTCGAGTCCATTCCATTACCGTCTATTCTATTCCCTTCCATTCCTGTTGATTCAATTTCATTCCCTTCCATTCGATTCCTTTCCATTCGATTCCATTCCTTTCCATTCCATTCCATTCGTTCCCATTCCATGTGATTTCATTCCATTCCAGTCCATTATATTCGAGTCCACTCCACTCCATTCTATTACATTCAATTCCTTTTGAGTCCGTTCCATAACACTCCATTCATTTCGATTCCATTTCTTGCCAGTTTTCTTCCATTTTATTCCATTCCGTTCGATTCCATTCCATTCGATTGCATTCCATTCGAATCCTTTCCATTCCATTTCATTCCATTCCTTTCTATTCCATTCCATTTCATTCGATTTGATTCCATTCTGTTCTATTCCATTCAATTCTTTTTCATTCCATTCGAATCCTTTCTATTGCAGTCCATTCCATTCGAGTCCATTCCAATCCCTTCCATTCCATTCCATTACAGTCCATTCCAATAGATTCCATTCCTTTGCCTTCCATTCGAATCCATTCCATTCTAGTCCATTCCATTTGAGTCAATTCCATTCCATTCCATTCTATTCCTTTCCAATCCATTCGATTCCATTCGATTCAATTCCATTTGATTCTCTTTCATTCTATTTTATTCCATGCCATTTGATTGCATTGCATTCCATTCCGTTTGGTTCCAGTCCATCCAAGAAAGTTCCATTCCAGTCCATTGCTTTCCAGTCCATTCCATTCCACTCTAGTCTATTCCACTCCATTCCCTTCCATTGCATTCCATACTATTCCATTCCATTCCTTTGCATTCCGTTTCCAATCTATTCGAGTCCATTGCATTCCAGTCCAATCCATTCGATTACATTCCTTTTGATTCCCTGCCAGTCGATTGCATTGCATACTACACCATTCCAAAGGAGTTCATTCCATTCTATCTCCACACTTTCCATTCCACTCTGTTTGAGTCCATTCCATTCCAGTCCATTTAATTCAAGGGCATTCCATTCCATTCCATTCCATTCCATTTCATATTATTCCATTCCATTCAATTCCATTCCAGATGATTCCATTCCATTCTATACCATTGCTCTCTGTTCCATTCCATTCCATCTGTCTCCATTCCTTTCGTTTCCATTCCTTTCCATTCCATTCCATTCCATTTGATCCTATTTTGTTAAATTGCATTCTATTCGAGTGATTTCCATTCGAGTCCTTTCCATTCGATTCCATTCCATTCTATTCCATTCCTTTGGATTCCATTCCATTCCGTTCCGTTCACATCAATTCCTGGCGATTCCATTACATTCGATTTCTTGCCATTCGATTCCATTCCTTTTGACTCCATTTCATTCGATTCCATTCCATTCCATTAATTTCCATTCCATTCGAGACCTTTCCATTGCAGTCTTTTCCCTTCGAGTCCATTCCGTTCGATTCCATTCCGTTCGATTCCCTTCCATTCGATTCCATTCCATTGGAGTCCGTACCAGTCGAGTCCATTCTATTCCAGTCCATTAGTTTTGACTCCATTGCATTCGAGTGCATTCCATTCCGTGGCTGTCCATTCCATTCCGTTTGATGCCATTCCATACGATTCCATTCAATTCGAGACCATTCTATTCCTGTCCATTCCTTGTGGTTCGATTCCATTTCACTCTAGTCCATTCCATTCCATTCAATTCCATTCGACTCTATTCCGTTCCATTCAATTCCATTCCATTCGATTCCATTTTTTTCGAGAGCCTTCCATTACACTCCCTTCCATTCCAGTGCATTCCATTACAGTCTCTTCACTTCGATTCCATTCCATTCGTTTCGATTCCTATCCATTCCAGCCCATTCCATTCCATTCCATTCCTTTCCTTTCCGTTTCATTAGATTCCATTGCATTCCATTCCATTCAATTCAATTCCATGCTATTCAATTTGATTCATTTCCATTTAATTCCATTCCATTAGATTCCATTCCGTACGATTCCATTCCTTTTGAATCCATTCCATTGGAGTCCATTCACTTCCAGAACATTCCATTCCAGTCGAATCCATTCGAGTACATTCCATTAAAGTTCATTACATTCTAATACATTCCATTCCATTGCATTCCATTCCATTCCATTCGATGCCATTCGATTCCATTCCATGCCAAATCATTGCATTCCTTTCCATTCCGTTCCTATCAATTCCATTCCATTCGATTTAGTTCGATTCTATTCACTTCCATTCCATTCGATTCCATTCCATTGGAGTCAATTCCTTTCGACACCCAGCCTCTCCAGTCAGTGATTTTGGATTCCATTTTTTTGCATTCCATTACATTCTATGACATTCGATTCCGTTTCATTGCATTCCATTCCATACATTTTTATTCCATTCGAGACCGTAGCATTCCACTTTATTCCAGGCCTGTCCATTACACTACATTCCCTTCCATTCCAATGAATTCCATTCCATTCCAATCCATTCCTTTCCTTTCGCTTGCATTCCATTCTATTCTCTTCTACTGCATACAATTTCACTCCATTCGTTCCCATTCCATTCAATTCCATTCCATTCAATTCCATTCCATTTGTTTCCATTCTCTTCGATTCCATTTCTTTATATTCCATGCCATTCGATTCCATTCTATTGGGTTGCATTACATTCGTGTTCATTCCATTCCAGACCATTCCATTTGACTCCATTCCTTTCGAGCCCTTTCAATTTGAGTCCATTCCTTTCCAGTCCATTTCACACCAGTCCATTACTATCCATTCCATACCATTCCATCCCACTCCATTCCATTCCATTCCATTCCATTCCATTCCATTCCATTGCATTCCATTCCATTCCATTCCATTGCACTGCACTCCATTCCATTACATTCTACTCTATCTGAGTCGATTTTATTGCATTAGATTCTATTCCATTGGATTACTTTCCATTCGATTACATTCCATTCATGTACATTCCTTTCCAGTCAATTACATTCGAGTTCATTACGTTACATTCCAGTATATTCCATTGTATTCGATCCCATTCCTTTCAATTCCATTTCATTCGACTCCATTATATTCAATTCCATTCCACTCGAATCCATTCCATTAGAGGACTTTCCATTCCAATGCATTCCATTCCATTCCATAGCATTCCATTGCATTCGATTCCATTCCATTTGATGCCATTCCATTTGATGCCATCCCATGACATTCCATTCCATTCGAGTCCATTCCGTTCCAATTCATTCCATTCCGTTTCATGAAATTCGAGTCCTTTCCAGTACATTTCATTCCAATCCCATCCAATCCCATCTACTCCATTCAATTCCTTTCCATTCCATTTGATTTGATTCCATTGATTTGATTCCATTCAGTTTGATTCCATTCCGTGAAATTTCGTTCCATTCTATTCCATTGCATTACTTTCCATTCAATTCCATTCCATTTCATTTCAGTCCATTCGCTTCCTTTCCTTTCGATTCAATTCCATTTGATTCCACTCCATTCTATGCGATTTCATTCCAATCGATTCAATTCCATTCGATGACATTCCTTTCGTTTCCATTCCATTCGAGTCCATTTAATTTGAGCATTCGTGTCCATTCTATTCGAGTCCATTCCATTACAGTCTATTCTATTCCCTTCCATTCGTGTTGATTCAATTTCATTCACTTCCATTCGATTCCTTTCCATTCGATTCCATTCCTTTCCATTCCATTCCATTCGTTCCCATTCCATGTGATTTCATTCCATTCCAGTCCATTATATTCGAGTCCACTCCACTCCATTCTATTACATTCAATTCCTTTTGAGTCCGTTCCATAACACTCCATTCATTTCGATTCCATTTCTTGCCAGTTTTCTTCCATTTTATTCCATTCCGTTCGATTCCATTCCATTCGATTGCATTCCATTCGAATCCTTTCCATTCCATTTCATTCCATTCCTTTCTATTCCATTCCATTTCATTCGATTTGATTCCATTCTGTTCTATTCCATTCAATTCTTTTTCATTCCATTCGAATCCTTTCTATTGCAGTCCATTCCATTCGAGTCCATTCCAATCCCTTCCATTCCATTCCATTACAGTCCATTCCAATAGATTCCATTCCTTTGCTTTCCGTTCGAATCCATTCCATTCTAGTCCATTCCATTTGAGTCAATTCCATTCCATTCCATTCTATTCATTTCCAATCCATTCGATTCCATTCGATTCAATTCCATTTGATTCTCTTTCATTCTATTTTATTCCATGCCATTTGATTGCATTGCATTCCATTCCGTTTGATTCCAGTCCATCCAAGAAAGTTCCATTCCAGTCCATTGCTTTCCAGTCCATTCCATTCCACTCTAGTCTATTCCACTCCATTCCCTTCCATTGCATTCCATACTATTCCATTCCATTCCTTTGCATTCCGTTTCCAATCTATTCGAGTCCATTGCATTCCAGTCCAATCCATTCGATTACATTCCTTTTGATTCCCTGCCAGTCGATTGCATTGCATACTACACCATTCCAAAGGAGTTCATTCCATTCTATCTCCACACTTTCCATTCCACTCTGTTTGAGTCCATTCCATTCCAGTCCATTTAATTCAAGGGCATTCCATTCCATTCCATTCCATTCCATTTCATATTATTCCATTCCATTCAATTCCATTCCAGATGATTCCATTCCATTCTATACCATTGCTCTCTGTTCCATTCCATTCCATCTGTCTCCATTCCTTTCGTTTCGATTCCTTTCCATTCCATTCCATTACATTTGATCCTATTTTATTAAATTGCATTCTATTCGAGTGATTTCCATTCGAGTCCTTTCCATTCGATTCCATTCCATTCTATTCCATTCCTTTGGATTCCATTCCATTCCGTTCCGTTCACATCAATTCCTGGCGATTCCATTACATTCGATTTCTTGCCATTCGATTCCATTCCTTTTGACTCCATTTCATTCGATTCCATTCCATTCCATTAATTTCCATTCCATTCGAGACCTTTCCATTGCAGTCTTTTCCCTTCGAGTCCATTCCGTTCGATTCCATTCCGTTCGATTCCCTTCCATTCGATTCCATTCCATTGGAGTCCGTACCAGTCGAGTCCATTCTATTCCAGTCCATTAGTTTCGACTCCATTGCATTCGAGTGCATTCCATTCCGTGGCTGTCCATTCCATTCCGTTTGATGCCATTCCATACGATTCCATTCAATTCGAGACCATTCTATTCCTGTCCATTCCTTGTGGTTCGATTCCATTTCACTCTAGTCCATTCCATTCCATTCAATTCCATTCGACTCTATTCCGTTCCATTCAATTCCATTCCATTCGATTCCATTTTTTTCGAGAGCCTTCCATTACACTCCCTTCCATTCCAGTGCATTCCATTACAGTCTCTTCACTTCGATTCCATTCCATTCGTTTCGATTCCTATCCATTCCAGCCCATTCCATTCCATTCCTTTCCTTTCCGTTTCATTAGATTCCATTGCATTCCATTCCATTCAATTCAATTCCGTGCTATTCAATTTGATTCATTTCCATTTAATTCCATTCCATTAGATTCCATTCCGTACGATTCCATTCCTTTTGAATCCATTCCATTGGAGTCCATTCACTTCCAGAACATTCCATTCCAGTCGAATCCATTCGAGTACATTCCATTAAAGTTCATTACATTCTAATACATTCCATTCCATTGCATTCCATTCCATTCCATTCGATGCCATTCGATTCCATTCCATGCCAAATCATTGCATTCCTTTCCATTCCGTTCCTATCAATTCCATTCCATTCGATTTAGTTCGATTCTATTCACTTCCATTCCATTCGATTCCATTCCATTGGAGTCAATTCCTTTCGACACCCAGCCTCTCCAGTCAGTGATTTTGGATTCCATTTTTTTGCATTCCATTACATTCTATGACATTCGATTCCGTTTCATTGCATTCCATTCCATACATTTTTATTCCATTCGAGACCGTAGCATTCCACTTTATTCCAGGCCTGTCCATTACACTACATTCCCTTCCATTCCAATGAATTCCATTCCATTCCAATCCATTCCTTTCCTTTCGCTTGCATTCCATTCTATTCTCTTCTACTGCATACAATTTCACTCCATTCGTTCCCATTCCATTCAATTCCATTCCATTCAATTCCATTCCATTTGTTTCCATTCTCTTCGATTCCATTTCTTTATATTCCATGCCATTCGATTCCATTCTATTGGGTTGCATTACATTCGTGTTCATTCCATTCCAGACCATTCCATTTGACTCCATTCCTTTCGAGCCCTTTCAATTTGAGTCCATTCCTTTCCAGTCCATTTCACTCCAGTCCATTACTATCCATTCCATACCATTCCATCCCATTCCATTCCATTCCATTCCATTCCATTCCATTCCATTCCATTCCATTGCATTCCATTCCATTCCATTCCATTGCACTGCACTCCATTCCATTACATTCTACTCTATCTGAGTCGATTTTATTGCATTAGATTCTATTCCATTGGATTACTTTCCATTCGATTACATTCCATTCATGTACATTCCATTCCAGTCAATTACATTCGAGTTCATTACGTTACATTCCAGTATATTCCATTGTATTCGATCCCATTCCTTTCAATTCCATTTCATTCGACTCCATTATATTCAATTCCATTCCACTCGAATCCGTTCCATTAGAGGACATTCCATTCCAATGCATTCCATTCCATTCCATAGCATTCCACTGCATTCGATTCCATTCCATTTGATGCCATTACATTTGATGCCATCCCATGACATTCCATTCCATTCGAGTCCATTCCGTTCCAATTCATTCCATTCCGTTTCATGAAATTCGAGTCCTTTCCAGTACATTTCATTCCAATCCCATCCAATCCCATCTACTCCATTCAATTCCTTTCCATTCCATTTGATTTGATTCCATTGATTTGATTCCATTCAGTTTGATTCCATTCCGTGAAATTTCGTTCCATTCTATTCCATTGCATTACTTTCCATTCAATTCCATTCCATTTCATTTCAGTCCATTCGCTTCCTTTCCTTTCGATTTAATTCCATTTGATTCCACTCCATTCTATGCGATTTCATTCCAATCGATTGAATTCCATTCGGTGACATTCCTTTCGTTTCCATTCCATTCGAGTCCATTTAATTTGAGCATTCGTGTCCATTCTATTCGAGTCCATTCCATTACAGTCTATTCTATTCCCTTCCATTCCTGTTGATTCAATTTCATTCCCTTCCATTCGATTCCTTTCCATTCGATTCCATTCCTTTCCATTCCATTCCATTCGTTCCCATTCCATGTGATTTCATTCCATTCCAGTCCATTATATTCGAGTCCACTCCACTCCATTCTATTACATTCAATTCCTTTTGAGCCCGTTCCATAACACTCCATTCATTTCGATTCCATTTCTTGCCAGTTTTCTTCCATTTTCTTCCATTCCGTTCGATTCCATTCCATTCGATTGCATTCCATTCGAATCCTTTCCATTCCATTTCATTCCATTCCTTTCTATTCCATTCCATTTCATTCGATTTGATTCCATTCTGTTCTATTCCATTCAATTCTTTTTCATTCCATTCGAATCCTTTCTATTGCAGTCCATTCCATTCGAGTCCATTCCAATCCCTTCCATTCCATTCCATTACAGTCCATTCCAATAGATTCCATTCCTTTGCCTTCCATTCGAATCCATTCCATTCTAGTACATTCCATTTGAGTCCATTCCATTCCATTCCATTCTATTCCTTTCCAATCCATTCGATTCCATTCGATTCAATTCCATTTGATTCTCTTTCATTCTATTTTATTCCATGCCATTTGATTGCATTGCATTCCATTCCGTTTGATTCCAGTCCATCCAAGAAAGTTCCATTCCAGTCCATTGCTTTCCAGTCCATTCCATTCCACTCTAGTCTATTCCACTCCATTCCCTTCCATTGCATTCCATACTATTCCATTCCATTCCTTTGCATTCCGTTTCCAATCTATTCGAGTCCTTTGCATTCCAGTCCAATCCATTCGATTACATTCCTTTTGATTCCCTGCCAGTCGATTGCATTGCATACTACACCATTCCAAAGGAGTTCATTCCATTCTATCTCCACACTTTCCATTCCACTCTGTTTGAGTCCATTCCATTCCAGTCCATTTAATTCAAGGGCATTCCATTCCATTCCATTCCATTCCATTTCATATTATTCCATTCCATTCAATTCCATTCCAGATGATTCCATTCCATTCTATACCATTGCTCTCTGTTCCATTCCATTCCATCTGTCTCCATTCCTTTCGTTTCGATTCCTTTCCATTCCATTCCATTACATTTGATCCTATTTTATTAAATTGCATTCTATTCGAGTGATTTCCATTCGAGTCCTTTCCATTCGATTCCATTCCATTCTATTCCATTCCTTTGGATTCCATTCCATTCCGTTCCGTTCACATCAATTCCTGGCGATTCCATTACATTCGATTTCTTGCCATTCGATTCCATTCCTTTTGACTCCATTTCATTCGATTCCATTCCATTCCATTAATTTCCATTCCATTCGAGACCTTTCCATTGCAGTCTTTTCCCTTCGAGTCCATTCCGTTCGATTCCCTTCCGTTCGATTCCCTTCCATTCGATTCCATTCCATTGGAGTCCGTACCAGTCGAGTCCATTCTATTCCAGTCCATTTGTTTCGACTCCATTGCATTCGAGTGCATTCCATTCCGTGGCTGTCCATTCCATTCCGTTTGATGCCATTCCATACGATTCCATTCAATTCGAGACCATTCTATTCCTGTCCATTCCTTGTGGTTCGATTCCATTTCACTCTAGTCCATTCCATTCCATTCAATTCCATTCGACTCTATTCCGTTCCATTCAATTCCATTCCATTCGATTCCATTTTTTTCGACAACCTTCCATTACACTCCCTTCCATTCCAGTGCATTCCATTCCAGTCTCTTCAGTTCGATTCCATTCCATTCGTTTCGATTCCTTTCCATTCCAGCCCATTCCATTCCATTCCATTCCTTTCCTTTCCGTTTCATTAGATTCCATTGCATTCCATTCCATTCAATTCAATTCCGTGCTATTCAATTTGATTCATTTCCATTTAATTCCATTCCATTAGATTCCATTCCGTACGATTCCATTCCTTTTGAATCCATTCCATTGGAGTCCATTCACTTCCAGAACATTCCATTCCAGTCGAATCCATTCGAGTACATTCCATTAAAGTTCATTACATTCTAATACATTCCATTCCATTGCATTCCATTCCATTCCATTCGATGCCATTCGATTCCATTCCATGCCAAATCATTGCATTCCTTTCCATTCCGTTCCTATCAATTCCATTCCATTCGATTTAGTTCGATTCTATTCACTTCCATTCCATTCGATTCCATTCCATTGGAGTCAATTCCTTTCGACACCCAGCCTTTCCAGTCAATGATTTTGGATTCCATTTTTTTGCATTCCATTACATTCTATGACATTCGATTCCGTTTCATTGCATTCCATTCCATACATTTTTATTCCATTCGAGACCGTAGCATTCCACTTTATTCCAGGCCTGTCCATTACACTACATTCCCTTCCATTCCAATGAATTCCATTCCATTCCAATCCATTCCTTTCCTTTCGCTTGCATTCCATTCTATTCTCTTCTACTGCATACAATTTCACTCCATTCGTTCCCATTCCATTCAATTCCATTCCATTCAATTCCATTCCCTTTGTTTCCATTCTCTTCGATTCCATTTCTTTATATTCCATGCCATTCGATTCCATTCTATTGGGTTGCATTACATTCGTGTTCATTCCATTCCAGACCATTCCATTTGACTCCATTCCTTTCGAGCCCTTTCAATTTGAGTCCATTCCTTTCCAGTCCATTTCACTCCAGTCTATTACTATCCATTCCATACCATTCCATCCCATTCCATTCCATTCCATTCCATTGCATTCCATTCCATTCCATTCCATTGCACTGCACTCCATTCCATTACATTCTACTCTATCTGAGTCGATTTTATTGCATTAGATTCTATTCCATTGGATTACTTTCCATTCGATTACATTCCATTCATGTACATTCCATTCCAGTCAATTACATTCGAGTTCATTACGTTACATTCCACTATATTCCATTGTATTCGATCCCATTCCTTTCAATTCCATTTCATTCGACTCCATTATATTCAATTCCATTCCACTCGAATCCATTCCATTAGAGGACATTCCATTCCAATGCATTCCATTCCATTCCATAGCATTCCATTGCATTCGATTCCATTCCATTTGATGCCATTCCATTTGATGCCATCCCATGACATTCCATTCCATTCGAGTCCATTCCGTTCCAATTCATTCCATTCCGTTTCATGAAATTCGAGTCCTTTCCAGTACATTTCATTCCAATCCCATCCAATCCCATCTACTCCATTCAATTCCTTTCCATTCCATTTGATTTGATTCCATTGATTTGATTCCATTCAGTTTGATTCCATTCCGTGAAATTTCGTTCCATTCTATTCCATTGCATTACTTTCCATTCAATTCCATTCCATTTCATTTCAGTCCATTCGCTTCCTTTCCTTTCGATTCAATTCCATTTGATTCCACTCCATTCTATGCGATTTCATTCCAATCGATTCAATTCCATTCGATGACATTCCTTTCGTTTCCATTCCATTCGAGTCCATTTAATTTGAGCATTCGTGTCCATTCTATTCGAGTCCATTCCATTACAGTCTATTCTATTCCCTTCCATTCCTGTTGATTCAATTTCATTCCCTTCCATTCGATTCCTTTCCATTCGATTCCATTCCTTTCCATTCCATTCCATTCGTTCCCATTCCATGTGATTTCATTCCATTCCAGTCCATTATATTCGAGTCCACTCCACTCCATTCTATTACATTCAATTCCTTTTGAGTCCGTTCCATAACACTCCATTCATTTCGATTCCATTTCTTGCCAGTTTTCTTCCATTTTATTCCATTCCGTTCGATTCCATTCCATTCGATTGCATTCCATTCGAATCCTTTCCATTCCATTTCATTCCATTCCTTTCTATTCCATTCCATTTCATTCGATTTCATTCCATTCTGTTCTATTCCATTCAATTCTTTTTCATTCCATTCGAATCCTTTCTATTGCAGTCCATTCCATTCGAGTCCATTCCAATCCCTTCCATTCCATTCCATTACAGTCCATTCCAATAGATTCCATTCCTTTGCCTTCCATTCGAATCCATTCCATTCTAGTCCATTCCATTTGAGTCAATTCCATTCCATTCCATTCTATTCCTTTCCAATCCATTCGATTCCATTCGATTCAATTCCATTTGATTCTCTTTCATTCTAATTTATTCCATGCCATTTGATTGCATTGCATTCCATTCCGTTTGATTCCAGTCCATCCAAGAAAGTTCCATTCCAGTCCATTGCTTTCCAGTCCATTCCATTCCACTCTAGTCTATTCCACTCCATTCCCTTCCATTGCATTCCATACTATTCCATTCCATTCCTTTGCATTCCGTTTCCAATCTATTCGAGTCCATTGCATTCCAGTCCAATCCATTCGATTACATTCCTTTTGATTCCCTGCCAGTCGATTGCATTGCATACTACACCATTCCAAAGGAGTTCATTCCATTCTATCTCCACACTTTCCATTCCACTCTGTTTGAGTCCATTCCATTCCAGTCCATTTAATTCAAGGGCATTCCATTCCATTCCATTCCATTCCATTTCATATTATTCCATTCCATTCAATTCCATTCCAGATGATTCCATTCCATTCTATACCATTGCTCTCTATTCCATTCCATTCCATCTGTCTCCATTCCTTTCGTTTCAATTCCTTTCCATTCCATTCCATTACATTTGATCCCATTTTATTAAATTGCATTCTATTCGAGTGATTTCCATTCGAGTCCTTTCCATTCGATTCCATTCCATTCTATTCCATTCCTTTGGATTCCATTCCATTCCGTTCCGTTCACATCAATTCCTGGCGATTCCATTACATTCGATTTCTTGCCATTCGATTCCATTCCTTTTGACTCCATTTCATTCGATTCCATTCCATTCCATTAATTTCCATTCCATTCGAGACCTTTCCATTGCAGTCTTTTCCCTTCGAGTCCATTCCGTTCGATTCCCTTCCGTTCGATTCCCTTCCATTCGATTCCATTCCATTGGAGTCCGTACCAGTCGAGTCCATTCTATTCCAGTCCATTTGTTTCGACTCCATTGCATTCGAGTGCATTCCATTCCGTGGCTGTCCATTCCATTCCGTTTGATGCCATTCCATACGATTCCATTCAATTCGAGACCATTCTATTCCTGTCCATTCCTTGTGGTTCGATTCCATTTCACTCTAGTCCATTCCATTCCATTCAATTCCATTCGACTCTATTCCGTTCCATTCAATTCCATTCCATTCGATTCCATTTTTTTCGAGAACCTTCCATTACACTCCCTTCCATTCCAGTGCATTCCATTCCAGTCTCTTCAGTTCGATTCCATTCCATTCGTTTCGATTCCTTTCCATTCCAGCCCATTCCATTCCATTCCATTCCTTTCCTTTCCGTTTCATTAGATTCCATTGCATTCCATTCCATTCAATTCAATTCCGTGCTATTCAATTTGATTCATTTCCATTTAATTCCATTCCATTAGATTCCATTCCGTACGATTCCATTCCTTTTGAATCCATTCCATTGGAGTCCATTCACTTCCAGAACATTCCATTCCAGTCGAATCCATTCGAGTACATTCCATTAAAGTTCATTACATTCTAATACATTCCATTCCATTGCATTCCATTCCATTCCATTCGATGCCATTCGATTCCATTCCATGCCAAATCATTGCATTCCTTTCCATTCCGTTCCTATCAATTCCATTCCATTCGATTTAGTTCGATTCTATTCACTTCCATTCCATTCGATTCCATTCCATTGGAGTCAATTCCTTTCGACACCCAGCCTTTCCAGTCAATGATTTTGGATTCCATTTTTTTGCATTCCATTACATTCTATGACATTCGATTCCGTTTCATTGCATTCCATTCCATACATTTTTATTCCATTCGAGACCGTAGCATTCCACTTTATTCCAGGCCTGTCCATTACACTACATTCCCTTCCATTCCAATGAATTCCATTCCATTCCAATCCATTCCTTTCCTTTCGCTTGCATTCCATTCTATTCTCTTCTACTGCATACAATTTCACTCCATTCGTTCCCATTCCATTCAATTCCATTCCATTCAATTCCATTCCCTTTGTTTCCATTCTCTTCGATTCCATTTCTTTATATTCCATGCCATTCGATTCCATTCTATTGGGTTGCATTACATTCGTGTTCATTCCATTCCAGACCATTCCATTTGACTCCATTCCTTTCGAGCCCTTTCAATTTGAGTCCATTCCTTTCCAGTCCATTTCACTCCAGTCCATTACTATCCATTCCATACCATTCCATCCCATTCCATTCCATTCCATTCCATTCCATTCCATTCCATTCCATTGCATTCCATTCCATTCCATTCCATTGCACTGCACTCCATTCCATTACATTCTACTCTATCTGAGTCGATTTTATTGCATTAGAATCTATTCCATTGGATTACTTTCCATTCGATTACATTCCATTCATGTACATTCCATTCCAGTCAATTACATTCGAGTTCATTACGTTACATTCCAGTATATTCCATTGTATTCGATCCCATTCCTTTCAATTCCATTTCATTCGACTCCATTATATTCAATTCCATTCCACTCGAATCCATTCCATTAGAGGACATTCCATTCCAATGCATTCCATTCCATTCCATAGCATTCCATTGCATTCGATTCCATTCCATTTGATGCCATTCCATTTGATGCCATCCCATGACATTCCATTCCATTCGAGTCCATTCCGTTCCAATTCATTCCATTCCGTTTCATGAAATTCGAGTCCTTTCCAGTACATTTCATTCCAATCCCATCCAATCCCATCTACTCCATTCAATTCCTTTCCATTCCATTTGATTTGATTCCATTGATTTGATTCCATTCAGTTTGATTCCATTCCGTGAAATTTCGTTCCATTCTATTCCATTGCATTACTTTCCATTCAATTCCATTCCATTTCATTTCAGTCCATTCGCTTCCTTTCCTTTCGATTCAATTCCATTTGATTCCACTCCATTCTATGCGATTTCATTCCAATTGATTCAATTCCATTCGATGACATTCCTTTCGTTTCCATTCCATTCGAGTCCATTTAATTTGAGCATTCGTGTCCATTCTATTCGAGTCCATTCCATTACAGTCTATTCTATTCCCTTCCATTCGTGTTGATTCAATTTCATTCACTTCCATTCGATTCCTTTCCATTCGATTCCATTCCTTTCCATTCCATTCCATTCGTTCCCATTCCATGTGATTTCATTCCATTCCAGTCCATTATATTCGAGTCCACTCCACTCCATTCTATTACATTCAATTCCTTTTGAGTCCGTTCCATAACACTCCATTCATTTCGATTCCATTTCTTGCCAGTTTTCTTCCATTTTATTCCATTCCGTTCGATTCCATTCCATTCGATTGCATTCCATTCGAATCCTTTCCATTCCATTTCATTCCATTCCTTTCTATTCCATTCCATTTCATTCGATTTGATTCCATTCTGTTCTATTCCATTCAATTCTTTTTCATTCCATTCGAATCCTTTCTATTGCAGTCCATTCCATTCGAGTCCATTCCAATCCCTTCCATTCCATTCCATTACAGTCCATTCCAATAGATTCCATTCCTTTGCCTTCCATTCGAATCCATTCCATTCTAGTCCATTCCATTTGAGTCAATTCCATTCCATTCCATTCTATTCCTTTCCAATCCATTCGATTCCATTCGATTCAATTCCATTTGATTCTCTTTCATTCTATTTTATTCCATGCCATTTGATTGCATTGCATTCCATTCCGTTTGATTCCAGTCCATCCAAGAATGTTCCATTCCAGTCCATTGCTTTCCAGTCCATTCCATTCCACTCTAGTCTATTCCACTCCATTCCCTTCCATTGCATTCCATACTATTCCATTCCATTCCTTTGCGTTCCGTTTCCAATCTATTCGAGTCCATTGCATTTCAGTCCAATCCATTCGATTACATTCCTTTTGATTCCCTGCCAGTCGATTGCATTGCATACTACACCATTCCAAAGGAGTTCATTCCATTCTATCTCCACACTTTCCATTCCACTCTGTTTGAGTCCATTCCATTCCAGTCCATTTAATTCAAGGGCATTCCATTCCATTCCATTCCATTCCATTTCATATTATTCCATTCCATTCAATTCCATTCCAGATGATTCCATTCCATTCTATACCATTGCTCTCTATTCCATTCCATTCCATCTGTCTCCATTCCTTTCGTTTCAATTCCTTTCCATTCCATTCCATTACATTTGATCCCATTTTATTAAATTGCATTCTATTCGAGTGATTTCCATTCGAGTCCTTTCCATTCGATTCCATTCCATTCTATTCCATTCCTTTGGATTCCATTCCATTCCGTTCCGTTCACATCAATTCCTGGCGATTCCATTACATTCGATTTCTTGCCATTCGATTCCATTCCTTTTGACTCCATTTCATTCGATTCCATTCCTTTCCATTAATTTCCATTCCATTCGAGACCTTTCCATTGCAGTCTTTTCCCTTCGAGTCCATTCCGTTCGATTCCCTTCCATTCGATTCCATTCCATTGGAGTCCGTACCAGTCGAGTCCATTCTATTCCAGTCCATTAGTTTCGACTCCATTGCATTCGAGTGCATTCCATTCCGTGGCTGTCCATTCCATTCCGTTTGATGCCATTCCATACGATTCCATTCAATTCGAGACCATTCTATTCCTGTCCATTCCTTGTGGTTCGATTCCATTTCACTCTAGTCCATTCCATTCCATTCAATTCCATTCGACTCTATTCCGTTCCATTCAATTCCATTCCATTCGATTCCATTTTTTTCGAGAACCTTGCATTACACTCCCTTCCATTCCAGTGCATTCCATTCCAGTCTCTTCACTTCGATTCCATTCCATTCGTTTCGATTCCTTTCCATTCCAGCCCATTCCATTCCATTCCATTCCTTTCCTTTCCGTTTCATTAGATTCCATTGCATTCCATTCCATTCAATTCAATTCCGTGCTATTCAATTTGATTCATTTCCATTTAATTCCATTCCATTAGATTCCATTCCGTACGATTCCATTCCTTTTGAATCCATTCCATTGGAGTCCATTCACTTCCAGAACATTCCATTCCAGTCGAATCCATTCGAGTACATTCCATTAAAGTTCATTACATTCTAATACATTCCATTCCATGCATTCCATTCCATTCCATTCGATGCCATTCGATTCCATTCCATGCCAAATCATTGCATTCCTTTCCATTCCGTTCCTATCAATTCCATTCCATTCGATTTAGTTCGATTCTATTCACTTCCATTCCATTCGATTCCATTCCATTGGAGTCAATTCCTTTCGACACCCAGCCTTTCCAGTCAATGATTTTGGATTCCATTTTTTTGCATTCCATTACATTCTATGACATTCGATTCCGTTTCATTGCATTCCATTCCATACATTTTTATTCCATTCGAGACCGTAGCATTCCACTTTATTCCAGGCCTGTCCATTACACTACATTCCCTTCCATTCCAATGAATTCCATTCCATTCCAATCCATTCCTTTCCTTTCGCTTGCATTCCATTCTATTCTCTTCTACTGCATACAATTTCACTCCATTCGTTCCCATTCCATTCAATTCCATTCCATTCAATTCCATTCCATTTGTTTCCATTCTCTTCGATTCCATTTCTTTATATTCCATGCCATTCGATTCCATTCTATTGGGTTGCATTACATTCGTGTTCATTCCATTCCAGACCATTCCATTTGACTCCATTCCTTTCGAGCCCTTTCAATTTGAGTCCATTCCTTTCCAGTCCATTTCACTCCAGTCCATTACTATCCATTCCATACCATTCCATCCCATTCCATTCCATTCCATTCCATTCCATTCCATTCCATTGCATTCCATTCCATTCCATTCCATTGCACTGCACTCCATTCCATTACATTCTACTCTATCTGAGTCGATTTTATTGCATTAGATTCTATTCCATTGGATTACTTTCCATTCGATTACATTCCATTCATGTACATTCCATTCCAGTCAATTACATTCCAGTTCATTACGTTACATTCCAGTATATTCCATTGTATTCGATCCCATTCCTTTCAATTCGATTTCATTCGACTCCATTATATTCAATTCCATTCCACTCGAATCCATTCCATTAGCGGACATTCCATTCCAATGCATTCCATTCCATTCCATAGCATTCCATTGCATTCGATTCCATTCCATTTGATGTCATTCCATTTGATGCCATCCCATGACATTCCATTCCATTCGAGTCAATTCCGTTCCAATTCATTCCATTCCGTTTCATGAAATTCGAGTCCTTTCCAGTACATTTCATTCCAATCCCATCCAATCCCATCTACTCCATTCAATTCCTTTCCATTCCATTTGATTTGATTCCATTGATTTGATTCCATTCAGTTTGATTCCATTCCGTGAAATTTCGTTCCATTCTATTCCATTGCATTACTTTCCATTCAATTCCATTCCATTTCATTTCAGTCCATTCGCTTCCTTTCCTTTCGATTCAATTCCATTTGATTCCACTCCATTCTATGCGATTTCATTCCAATCGATTCAATTCCATTCGATGACATTCCTTTCGTTTCCATTCCATTCGAGTCCATTTAATTTGAGCATTCGTGTCCATTCTATTCGAGTCCATTCCATTACAGTCTATTCTATTCCCTTCCATTCCTGTTGATTCAATTTCATTCCCTTCCATTCGATTCCTTTCCATTCGATTCCATTCCTTTCCATTCCATTCCATTCGTTCCCATTCCATGTGATTTCATTCCATTCCAGTCCATTATATTCGAGTCCACTCCACTCCATTCTATTACATTCAATTCCTTTTGAGTCCGTTCCATAACACTCCATTCATTTCGATTCCATTTCTTGCCAGTTTTCTTCCATTTTATTCCATTCCGTTCGATTCCATTCCATTCGATTGCATTCCATTCGAATCCTTTCCATTCCATTTCATTCCATTCCTTTCTATTCCATTCCATTTCATTCGATTTGATTCCATTCTGTTCTATTCCATTCAATTCTTTTTCATTCCATTCGAATCCTTTCTATTGCAGTCCATTCCATTCGAGTCCATTCCAATCCCTTCCATTCCATTCCATTACAGTCCATTCCAATAGATTCCATTCCTTTGCCTTCCATTCGAATCCATTCCATTCTAGTCCATTCCATTTGAGTCAATTCCATTCCATTCCATTCTATTCATTTCCAATCCATTCGATTCCATTCGATTCAATTCCATTTGATTCTCTTTCATTCTATTTTATTCCATGCCATTTGATTGCATTGCATTCCATTCCGTTTGATTCCAGTCCATCCAAGAAAGTTCCATTTCAGTCCATTGCTTTCCAGTCCATTCCATTCCACTCTAGTCTATTCCACTCCATTCCCTTCCATTGCATTCCATACTATTCCATTCCATTCCTTTGCATTCCGTTTCCAATCTATTCGAGTCCATTGCATTCCAGTCCAATCCATTCGATTACATTCCTTTTGATTCCCTGCCAGTCGATTGCATTGCATACTACACCATTCCAAAGGAGTTCATTCCATTCTATCTCCACACTTTCCATTCCACTCTGTTTGAGTCCATTCCATTCCAGTCCATTTAATTCAAGGGCATTCCATTCCATTCCATTCCATTCCATTTCATATTATTCCATTCCATTCAATTCCATTCCAGATGATTCCATTCCATTCTATACCATTGCTCTCTGTTCCATTCCATTCCATCTGTCTCCATTCCTTTCGTTTCGATTCCTTTCCATTCCATTCCATTACATTTGATCCTATTTTATCAAATTGCATTCTATTCGAGTGATTTCCATTCGAGTCCTTTCCATTCGATTCCATTCCATTCTATTCCATTCCTTTGGATTCCATTCCATTCCGTTCCGTTCACATCAATTCCTGGCGATTCCATTACATTCGATTTCTTGCCATTCGATTCCATTCCTTTTGACTCCATTTCATTCGATTCCATTCCATTCCATTAATTTCCATTCCATTCGAGACCTTTCCATTGCAGTCTTTTCCCTTCGAGTCCATTCCGTTCGATTCCCTTCCGTTCGATTCCCTTCCATTCGATTCCATTCCATTGGAGTCCGTACCAGTCGAGTCCATTCTATTCCAGTCCATTTGTTTCGACTCCATTGCATTCGAGTGCATTCCATTCCGTGGCTGTCCATTCCATTCCGTTTGATGCCATTCCATACGATTCCATTCAATTCGAGACCATTCTATTCCTGTCCATTCCTTGTGGTTCGATTCCATTTCACTCTAGTCCATTCCATTCCATTCAATTCCATTCGACTCTATTCCGTTCCATTCAATTCCATTCCATTCGATTCCATTTTTTTCGAGAACCTTCCATTACACTCCCTTCCATTCCAGTGCATTCCATTCCAGTCTCTTCACTTCGATTCCATTCCATTCGTTTCGATTCCTTTCCATTCCAGCCCATTCCATTCCATTCCATTCCTTTCCTTTCCGTTTCATTAGATTCCATTGCATTCGATTCCATTCAATTCAATTCCGTGCTATTCAATTTGATTCATTTCCATTTAATTCCATTCCATTAGATTCCATTCCGTACGATTCCATTCCTTTTGAATCCATTCCATTGGAGTCCATTCACTTCCAGAACATTCCATTCCAGTCGAATCCATTCGAGTACATTCCATTAAAGTTCATTACATTCTAATACATTCCATTCCATTGCATTCCATTCCATTCCATTCGATGCCATTCGATTCCATTCCATGCCAAATCATTGCATTCCTTTCCATTCCGTTCCTATCAATTCCATTCCATTCGATTTAGTTCGATTCTATTCACTTCCATTCCATTCGATTCCATTCCATTGGAGTCAATTCCTTTCGACACCCAGCCTTTCCAGTCAATGATTTTGGATTCCATTTTTTTGCATTCCATTACATTCTATGACATTCGATTCCGTTTCATTGCATTCCATTCCATACATTTTTATTCCATTCGAGACCGTAGCATTCCACTTTATTCCAGGCCTGTCCATTACACTACATTCCCTTCCATTCCAATGAATTCCATTCCATTCCAATCCATTCCTTTCCTTTCGCTTGCATTCCATTCTATTCTCTTCTACTGCATACAATTTCACTCCATTCGTTCCCATTCCATTCAATTCCATTCCATTCAATTCCATTCCATTTGTTTCCATTCTCTTCGATTCCATTTCTTTATATTCCATGCCATTCGATTCCATTCTATTGGGTTGCATTACATTCGTGTTCATTCCATTCCAGACCATTCCATTTGACTCCATTCCTTTCGAGCCCTTTCAATTTGAGTCCATTCCTTTCCAGTCCATTTCACTCCAGTCCATTACTATCCATTCCATACCATTCCATCCCATTCCATTCCATTCCATTCCATTCCATTCCATTCCATTCCATTCCATTCCATTCCATTGCATTCCATTCCATTGCACTGCACTCCATTCCATTACATTCTACTCTATCTGAGTCGATTTTATTGCATTAGATTCTATTCCATTGGATTACTTTCCATTCGATTACATTCCATTCATGTACATTCCATTCCAGTCAATTACATTCGAGTTCATTACGTTACATTCCAGTATATTCCATTGTATTCGATCCCATTCCTTTCAATTCCATTTCATTCGACTCCATTATATTCAATTCCATTCCACTCGAATCCATTCCATTAGCGGACATTCCATTCCAATGCATTCCATTCCATTCCATAGCATTCCATTGCATTCGATTCCATTCCATTTGATGTCATTCCATTTGATGCCATCCCATGACATTCCATTCCATTCGAGTCCATTCCGTTCCAATTCATTCCATTCCGTTTCATGAAATTCGAGTCCTTTCCAGTACATTTCATTCCAATCCCATCCAATCCCATCTACTCCATTCAATTCCTTTCCATTCCATTTGATTTGATTCCATTGATTTGATTCCATTCAGTTTGATTCCATTCCGTGAAATTTCGTTCCATTCTATTCCATTGCATTACTTTCCATTCAATTCCATTCCATTTCATTTCAGTCCATTCGCTTCCTTTCCTTTCGATTCAATTCCATTTGATTCCACTCCATTCTATGCGATTTCATTCCAATCGATTCAATTCCATTCGATAACATTCCTTTCGTTTCCATTCAATTCGAGTCCATTTAATTTGAGCATTCGTGTCCATTCTATCCGAGTCCATTCCATTACCGTCTATTCTATTCCCTTCCATTCCTGTTGATTCAATTTCATTCCCTTCCATTCGATTCCTTTCCATTGGATTCCATTCCTTTCCATTCCATTCCATTCGTTCCCATTCCATGTGATTTCATTCCATTCCAGTCCATTATATTCGAGTCCACTCCACTCAATTCTATTACATTCAATTCCTTTTGAGTCCGTTCCATAACACTCCATTCATTTCGATTCCATTTCTTGCCAGTTTTCTTCCATTTTATTCCATTCCGTTCGATTCCATTCCATTCGATTGCATTCCATTCGAATCCTTTCCATTCCATTTCATTCCATTCCTTTCTATTCCATTCCATTTCATTCGATTTGATTCCATTCTGTTCTATTCCATTCAATTCTTTTTCATTCCATTCGAATCCTTTCTATTGCAGTCCATTCCATTCGAGTCCATTCCAATCCCTTCCATTCCATTCCATTACAGACCATTCCAATAGATTCCATTCCTTTGCCTTCCATTCGAATCCATTCCATTCTAGTCCATTCCATTTGAGTCCATTCCATTCCATTCCATTCTATTCCTTTCCAATCCATTCGATTCCATTCGATTCAATTCCATTTGATTCTCTTTCATTCTATTTTATTCCATGCCATTTGATTGCATTGCATTCCATTCCGTTTGATTCCAGTCCATCCAAGAAAGTTCCATTCCAGTCCATTGCTTTCCAGTCCATTCCATTCCACTCTAGTCTATTCCACTCCATTCCCTTCCATTGCATTCCATACTATTCCATTCCATTCCTTTGCATTCCGTTTCCAATCTATTCGAGTCCATTGCATTCCAGTCCAATCCATTCGATTACATTCCTTTTGATTCCCTGCCAGTCGATTGCATTGCATACTACACCATTCCAAAGGAGTTCATTCCATTCTATCTCCACACTTTCCATTCCACTCTGTTTGAGTCCATTCCATTCCAGTCCATTTAATTCAAGGGCATTCCATTCCATTCCATTCCATTCCATTTCATATTGTTCCATTCCATTCAATTCCATTCCAGATGATTCCATTCCATTCTATACCATTGCTCTCTGTTCCATTCCATTCCATCTGTCTCCATTCCTTTCGTTTCGATTCCTTTCCATTCCATTCCATTACATTTGATCCTATTTTATTAAATTGCATTCTATTCGAGTGATTTCCATTCGAGTCCTTTCCATTCGATTCCATTCCATTCTATTCCATTCCTTTGGATTCCATTCCATTCCGTTCCGTTCACATCAATTCCTGGCGATTCGATTACATTAGATTTCTTGCCATTCGATTCCATTCCTTTTGACTCCATTTCATTCGATTCCATTCCATTCCATTAATTTCCATTCCATTCGAGACCTTTCCATTGCAGTCTTTTCCCTTCGAGTCCATTCTGTTCGATTCCCTTCCGTTCGATTCCCTTCCATTCGATTCCATTCCATTGGAGTCCGTACCAGTCGAGTCCATTCTATTCCAGTCCATTAGTTTCGACTCCATTGCATTCGAGTGCATTCCATTCCGTGGCTGTCCATTCCATTCCGTTTGATGCCATTCCATACGATTCCATTCAATTCGAGACCATTCTATTCCTGTCCATTCCTTGTGGTTCGATTCCATTTCACTCTAGTCCATTCCATTCCATTCAATTCCATTCGACTCTATTCCGTTCCATTCAATTCCATTCCATTCGATTCCATTTTTTTCGACAACCTTCCATTACACTCCCTTCCATTCCAGTGCATTCCATTCCAGTCTCTTCAGTTCGATTCCATTCCATTCGTTTCGATTCCTTTCCATTCCAGCCCATTCCATTCCATTCCATTCCTTTCCTTTCCGTTTCATTAGATTCCATTGCATTCCATTCCATTCAATTCAATTCCGTGCTATTCAATTTGATTCATTTCCATTTAATTCCATTCCATTAGATTCCATTCCGTACGATTCCATTCCTTTTGAATCCATTCCATTGGAGTCCATTCACTTCCAGAACATTCCATTCCAGTCGAATCCATTCGAGTACATTCCATTAAAGTTCATTACATTCTAATACATTCCATTCCATGCATTCCATTCCATTCCATTCGATGCCATTCGATTCCATTCCATGCCAAATCATTGCATTCCTTTCCATTCCGTTCCTATCAATTCCATTCCATTCGATTTAGTTCGATTCTATTCACTTCCATTCCATTCGATTCCATTCCATTGGAGTCAATTCCTTTCGACACCCAGCCTTTCCAGTCAATGATTTTGGATTCCATTTTTTTGCATTCCATTACATTCTATGACATTCGATTCCGTTTCATTGCATTCCATTCCATACATTTTTATTCCATTCGAGACCGTAGCATTCCACTTTATTCCAGGCCTGTCCATTACACTACATTCCCTTCCATTCCAATGAATTCCATTCCATTCCAATCCATTCCTTTCCTTTCGCTTGCATTCCATTCTATTCTCTTCTACTGCATACAATTTCACTCCATTCGTTCCCATTCCATTCAATTCCATTCCATTCAATTCCATTCCATTTGTTTCCATTCTCTTCGATTCCATTTCTTTATATTCCATGCCATTCGATTCCATTCTATTGGGTTGCATTACATTCGTGTTCATTCCATTCCAGACCATTCCATTTGACTCCATTCCTTTCGAGCCCTTTCAATTTGAGTCCATTCCTTTCCAGTCCATTTCACTCCAGTCCATTACTATCCATTCCATACCATTCCATCCCATTCCATTCCATTCCATTCCATTCCATTCCATTCCATTCCATTCCATTGCATTCCATTCCATTCCATTCCTTTGCACTGCACTCCATTCCATTACATTCTACTCTATCTGAGTCGATTTTATTGCATTAGATTCTATTCCATTGGATTACTTTCCATTCGATTACATTCCATTCATGTACATTCCATTCCAGTCAATTACATTCGAGTTCATTACATTACATTCCAGTATATTCCATTGTATTCGATCCCATTCCTTTCAATTCCATTTCATTCGACTCCATTATATTCAATTCCATTCCACTCGAATCCATTCCATTAGAGGACATTCCATTCCAATGCATTCCATTCCATTCCATAGCATTCCATTGCATTCGATTCCATTCCATTTGATGCCATTCCATTTGATGCCATCCCATGACATTCCATTCCATTCGAGTCCATTCCATTCGATTCCATTCCATTCTATTCCATTCCTTTGGATTCCATTCCATTCCGTTCCGTTCACATCAATTCCTGGCGATTCCATTACATTCGATTTCTTGCCATTCGATTCCATTCCTTTTGACTCCATTTCATTCGATTCCATTCCATTCCATTAATTTCCATTCCATTCGAGACCTTTCCATTGCAGTCTTTTCCCTTCGAGTCCATTCCGTTCGATTCCCTTCCGTTCGATTCCCTTCCATTCGATTCCATTCCATTGGAGTCCGTACCAGTCGAGTCCATTCTATTCCAGTCCATTTGTTTCGACTCCATTGCATTCGAGTGCATTCCATTCCGTGGCTGTCCATTCCATTCCGTTTGATGCCATTCCATACGATTCCATTCAATTCGAGACCATTCTATTCCTGTCCATTCCTTGTGGTTCGATTCCATTTCACTCTAGTCCATTCCATTCCATTCAATTCCATTCGACTCTATTCCGTTCCATTCAATTCCATTCCATTCGATTCCATTTTTTTCGAGAACCTTCCATTACACTCCCTTCCATTCCAGTGCATTCCATTCCAGTCTCTTCACTTCGATTCCATTCCATTCGTTTCGATTCCTTTCCATTCCAGCCCATTCCATTCCATTCCATTCCTTTCCTTTCCGTTTCATTAGATTCCATTGCATTCGATTCCATTCAATTCAATTCCGTGCTATTCAATTTGATTCATTTCCATTTAATTCCATTCCATTAGATTCCATTCCGTACGATTCCATTCCTTTTGAATCCATTCCATTGGAGTCCATTCACTTCCAGAACATTCCATTCCAGTCGAATCCATTCGAGTACATTCCATTAAAGTTCATTCCATTCTAATACATTCCATTCCATTGCATTCCATTCCATTCCATTCGATGCCATTCGATTCCATTCCATGCCAAATCATTGCATTCTTTTCCATTCCGTTCCTATCAATTCCATTCCATTCGATTTAGTTCGATTCTATTCACTTCCATTCCATTCGATTCCATTCCATTGGAGTCAATTCCTTTCGACACCCAGCCTTTCCAGTCAATGATTTTGGATTCCATTTTTTTGCATTCCATTACATTCTATGACATTCGATTCCGTTTCATTGCATTCCATTCCATACATTTTTATTCCATTCGAGACCGTAGCATTCCACTTTATTCCAGGCCTGTCCATTACACTACATTCCCTTCCATTCCAATGAATTCCATTCCATTCCAATCCATTCCTTTCCTTTCGCTTGCATTCCATTCTATTCTCTTCTACTGCATACAATTTCACTCCATTCGTTCCCATTCCATTCAATTCCATTCCATTCAATTCCATTCCATTTGTTTCCATTCTCTTCGATTCCATTTCTTTATATTCCATGCCATTCGATTCCATTCTATTGGGTTGCATTACATTCGTGTTCATTCCATTCCAGACCATTCCATTTGACTCCATTCCTTTCGAGCCCTTTCAATTTGAGTCCATTCCTTTCCAGTCCATTTCACTCCAGTCTATTACTATCCATTCCATACCATTCCATCCCATTCCATTCCATTCCATTCCATTGCATTCCATTCCATTCCATTCCATTGCACTGCACTCCATTCCATTACATTCTACTCTATCTGAGTCGATTTTATTGCATTAGATTCTATTCCATTGGATTACTTTCCATTCGATTACATTCCATTCATGTACATTCCATTCCAGTCAATTACATTCGAGTTCATTACGTTACATTCCAGTATATTCCATTGTATTCGATCCCATTCCTTTCAATTCCATTTCATTCGACTCCATTATATTCAATTCCATTCCACTCGAATCCATTCCATTAGAGGACATTCCATTCCAATGCATTCCATTCCATTCCATAGCATTCCATTGCATTCGATTCCATTCCATTTGATGCCATTCCATTTGATGCCATCCCATGACATTCCATTCCATTCGAGTCCATTCCGTTCCAATTCATTCCATTCCGTTTCATGAAATTCGAGTCCTTTCCAGTACATTTCATTCCAATCCCATCCAATCCCATCTACTCCATTCAATTCCTTTCCATTCCATTTGATTTGATTCCATTGATTTGATTCCATTCAGTTTGATTCCATTCCGTGAAATTTCGTTCCATTCTATTCCATTGCATTACTTTCCATTCAATTCCATTCCATTTCATTTCAGTCCATTCGCTTCCTTTCCTTTCGATTCAATTCCATTTGATTCCACTCCATTCTATGCGATTTCATTCCAATCGATTCAATTCCATTCGATGACATTCCTTTCGTTTCCATTCCATTCGAGTCCATTTAATTTGAGCATTCGTGTCCGTTCTATTCGAGTCCATTCCATTACAGTCTATTCTATTCCCTTCCATTCGTGTTGATTCAATTTCATTCCCTTCCATTCGATTCCTTTCCATTCGATTCCATTCCTTTCCATTCCATTCCATTCGTTCCCATTCCATGTGATTTCATTCCATTCCAGTCCATTATATTCGAGTCCACTCCACTCCATTCTATTACATTCAATTCCTTTTGAGTCCGTTCCATAACACTCCATTCATTTCGATTCCATTTCTTGCCAGTTTTCTTCCATTTTATTCCATTCCGTTCGATTCCATTCCATTCGATTGCATTCCATTCGAATCCTTTCCATTCCATTTCATTCCATTCCTTTCTATTCCATTCCATTTCATTCGATTTGATTCCATTCTGTTCTATTCCATTCAATTCTTTTTCATTCCATTCGAATCCTTTCTATTGCAGTCCATTCCATTCGAGTCCATTCCAATCCCTTCCATTCCATTCCATTACAGTCCATTCCAATAGATTCCATTCCTTTGCCTTCCATTCGAATCCATTCCATTCTAGTCCATTCCATTTGAGTCAATTCCATTCCATTCCATTCTATTCCTTTCCAATCCATTCGATTCCATTCGATTCAATTCCATTTGATTCTCTTTCATTCTATTTTATTCCATGCCATTTGATTGCACTACATTCCATTCCGTTTGATTCCAGTCCATCCAAGAAAGTTCCATTCCAGTCCATTGCTTTCCAGTCCATTCCATTCCACTCTAGTCTATTCCACTCCATTCCCTTCCATTGCATTCCATACTATTCCATTCCATTCCTTTGCATTCCGTTTCCAATCTATTCGAGTCCATTGCATTCCAGTCCAATCCATTCGATTACATTCCTTTTGATTCCCTGCCAGTCGATTGCATTGCATACTACACCATTCCAAAGGAGTTCATTCCATTCTATCTCCACACTTTCCATTCCACTCTGTTTGAGTCCATTCCATTCCAGTCCATTTAATTCAAGGGCATTCCATTCCATTCCATTCCATTCCATTTCATATTATTCCATTCCATTCAATTCCATTCCAGATGATTCCATTCCATTCTATACCATTGCTCTCTGTTCCATTCCATTCCATCTGTCTCCATTCCTTTCGTTTCGATTCCTTTCCATTCCATTACATTACATTTGATCCTATTTTATTAAATTGCATTCTATTCGAGTGATTTCCATTCGAGTCCTTTCCATTCGATTCCATTCCATTCTATTCCATTCCTTTGGATTCCATTCCATTCCGTTCCGTTCACATCAATTCCTGGCGATTCCATTACATTCGATTTCTTGCCATTCGATTCCATTCCTTTTGACTCCATTTCATTCGATTCCATTCCATTCCATTAATTTCCATTCCATTCGAGACCTTTCCATTGCAGTCTTTTCCCTTCGAGTCCATTCCGTTCGATTCCCTTCCGTTCGATTCCCGTCCATTCGATTCCATTCCATTGGAGTCCGTACCAGTCGAGTCCATTCTATTCCAGTCCATTAGTTTCGACTCCATTGCATTCGAGTGCATTCCATTCCGTGGCTGTCCATTCCATTCCGTTTGATGCCATTCCATACGATTCCATTCAATTCGAGACCATTCTATTCCTGTCCATTCCTTGTGGTTCGATTCCATTTCACTCTAGTCCATTCCATTCCATTCAATTCCATTCGACTCTATTCCGTTCCATTCAATTCCATTCCATTCGATTCCATTTTTTTCGACAACCTTCCATTACACTCCCTTCCATTCCAGTGCATTCCATTCCAGTCTCTTCACTTCGATTCCATTCCATTCGTTTCGATTCCTTTCCATTCCAGCCCATTCCATTCCATTCCATTCCTTTCCTTTCCGTTTCATTAGATTCCATTGCATTCCATTCCATTCAATTCAATTCCGTGCTATTCAATTTGATTCATTTCCATTTAATTCCATTCCATTAGATTCCATTCCGTACGATTCCATTCCTTTTGAATCCATTCCATTGGAGTCCATTCACTTCCAGAACATTCCATTCCAGTCGAATCCATTCGAGTACATTCCATTAAAGTTCATTACATTCTAATACATTCCATTCCATTGCATTCCATTCCATTCCATTCGATGCCATTCGATTCCATTCCATGCCAAATCATTGCATTCCTTTCCATTCCGTTCCTATCAATTCCATTCCATTCGATTTAGTTCGATTCTATTCACTTCCATTCCATTCGATTCCATTCCATTGGAGTCAATTCCTTTCGACACCCAGCCTTTCCAGTCAATGATTTTGGATTCCATTTTTTTGCATTCCATTACATTCTATGACATTCGATTCCGTTTCATTGCATTCCATTCCATACATTTTTATTCCATTCGAGACCGTAGCATTCCACTTTATTCCAGGCCTGTCCATTACACTACATTCCCTTCCATTCCAATGAATTC
>NC_000024.10:21750314-21789281 GCF_000001405.40 Homo sapiens | reverse complement strand
ATGACTGCAGATTTGGCTGCTCAGCATATAGTGTTGCAGTTATTAGCTTTCAGTAATGCTAATCCTGATTGCCAGGCTGCTCTGTGACCTATCACAGGGAAAGCACATTTAGTTGATTATATCAAGGCCTGTTATGGTATCAGAAGCAATCTGCATAAAGCTACTTTGTTGGCACAGGAAATGGCAGGACTGAGAGTGGATAAAGGAAATACTCCATTTCATGGAGCTTCTTTAAACTGTGGGAAGCATGGTCATACTAAAAAAGAATGTAGAAAAAATCAGCGAGTCAGGCCACAAGATAGGAGAAAAAAGAAAACTGCTGAGCATGAAATATGTCCAAAACATATAAAAGGACAACATTGTACTAATCAGTGTCACTCTAAGTTTGATAAAGAAGGGAACCCAATTTCAGGAAATGCCATGGGGTGCCCATCCCGGGCCCTGTTCTAAACTGGGGCATTTCTAGCTCAGGCTCTTCCCTCACCTCTGTATAATGTCTGTCCACTGCCACAGCTGGTAGTGCCCCAGTAGATTTATGCTGCACAAAAGCTGTGAGGCTTCTGCCTGGGGAACTGCCACAAAAGGTCCCAACAGGAGTCTGTGGACCCTTGCTAGCAGGGACAATAGGATTACTTCTAGGCAGCTCTTGTTTAAGTTTAAAAGGGGTATAAATACATACAGGAGTCATTGATTCAGATTATAATGGGGAAATTGAAATTGTTATATCTACTTCTGTTCCCTGAAAAGCAGAGCCAGGAGAGTGTATAGCACAGCTCTTGATTGTGCTGTATATGGGAATGGGAAAATGTGAAATTAAATGAACACAAGGACTTGGAAGCACAAATAAACAAGGCAAAGCACCTTATTGGGTAAATCAAATTACTGATAAACATCGTACCTGTGAAATAACTATTGAGGGAAAGAAATTTAAAGATGTGGTAGATACAGTAGTGGACATTTCAGTCATTTCTCTACAGCACTGGCCATCCAGATGGCCAATTCAACCCGCTCATTTTAACAGAGTTGGAGTTGGTAAAGCCCCTGAAGTATATCAAAGTAGTTCTATTTTGCTTTGTGAAGGGCCTGATGGACAACCTGGGACTATTCCACCAATTATAACTTTGGTACCTATAAATGTATGTGGAGGATATTTATTAAAACAATGGGGAGCACAAGTTCTAATTCCAGAACAATTATATAGCCCTCAAAGTCCACATATGGTGCATGAAATGGGGTATGTTCCTGGTATGAGACTATAAAAAAACTGCAAGGGTTGAAACAAAATCTTCAAGTGGAAAGACAAATTCTTGCCAAAGATTAGGAAACAATTTTTCATGGCGGCCATTGTTAAGCCTCCAGAAGCTATATCTTTAAAATGGTTAAGAGATAAGCCAATTTGGATAGAACAATGGCTGCTATATAAAGAGAAACTGGAGGCTCTAGAGAAATTAGTTACTGAACAATTAGAAAATGGGCACATAGCTCCAACATTTTCCCCTTGGAATTCTCCAGTTTTCATAATTAAGAAAAAATCAGGTAAATGGAGAATGTTAACTGACGTAAGAGCTATCAATTCAGTTATACAACCTATGGGAGCATTACAGCCAGGATTGCCTTCTCCTGCTATAATTCCAAAAAGAATTGGCCTTTAATAGTCATAGATTTAAAAGACTGTTTCTTAACTATCCCCTTAGCTGAGCATGACTGTGAATGGTTTGCATTTACAATTCCTGTGGTAAACAATCTGCAGCCTGCTAAGCGTTTTCATTGTTTTACAGATGGGCCTGGTAATGGTAAAGCTTCTTATTCTTGGTAGAAAAGTAAACTTTTTCAGAAGCCCTATACTTCAGCTCAAAAAGAGGAACTTGTAGCTGTAATTGAAGTATTTACTGCTTCTGATATGCCTATTAATGTGATTTCTGATTCTTCATAGGTATTTCATTCCACACAGTTAATTGAAAAGGCTCAGTTATGATTTGATACAGATGAACAAATGATGCCTTTATTTACCCAACTGCAAACAGCAGTTAGAAGTAGAATGCACCCTTTTTACATCACTCACACTAGGGCTATACACCTCTTACAGGACCTTTGACTGAAGGGAATCAAATGGCTAATCACCTCATTGCTAATGCAGTATCTAATTCTAGACACTTTCACAATTTAACCCATGTTAATGCCTTGTCTCAAATGCAGATACAGCATTACCTGGAAATAAGTTAAGCTATTATCCAGTGATGCCCAAGTTGCCAAATCGTACATTCATCATCTTTTATAGGAGGAGTTAATCATCGAAGATTGGAACCTAACTCTCTTTGGCAAATGAATATCACACTTGTTTCCTCATTTGGGAGACTAGCTTTTGTACATATATGTGTGTACACATTTTCTCACTTTTTCTGGGCTATGTGCAAATCAGGTGAGTCTTCTGACTGTGTTAAACATCAATTTTTGCAGTGTTTTGTGGTGATGGGCATTCCAGCTTCTACTAAAACAGTTAATGCCCCAGGCTGTACTATCCAAACTCTAGCTACATTTTTCTCTATGTGGAATACTAAACACATTACTGGTATCCCATACAATTCTCAAGGACAAGCCATAGTGGAAAGAATGAATCTTTCCCTAAAAACAGCAGTTGCAAAAGCAGAAAGGGGGAAATGGAGAATATGGAACCCCATAGATGCAACTGAATCTAGCATTATTAGCTTTAATTTTTTTGAGCCTGTCCAAAGGCCAGATGTTATCAGCAGCTGAACAGCATCTCCAGAAACCACCTGCAAAGACAGAAGCAGAACAACTGATTTGGTGGAGAGATACAATAACGAAATTGGGAAATAGGTAAAATAATAACTGGGGGTGGAGGTTATGCTTGTGTTTCTCCAGGCCAAAATCAACAACCAATTTGGACACCATGAAGACACCTGAAACCTTATCATGAGCCAGATGCCAAGGAAGAGACTCCGTGAGGATCCCGAGGATCCCCCAGTTGCAGCCACATCAAGGATGCCTCTGAGGAACACCCCAACTGTCATGAGCAACACCTGTTGAACACAGCCACTGACCTGGGGACAGATCAAGAAGGTGTCAAAGATGGCGGAAGAAAACCTGAGGAAAGCAGTACAACCAGTCACAATGAGTAATTTAATGGTAGCTATCATAGCAGTTATCACCACTGCTGTGAGTATTCCTTCAACAAAGGCTGACACAGAGAACAATTATGCTTATTGGGCATATTTATCAATCCTGTCTGGTAATAATGCCTGGATATAGTCACTCTATGCCACAGTTACACATGCCTTCTGATCTCAGTATTTTACATAATAAATCTGCCCCTATAATTGAGGCATACTGCCCTCAAAAACCTATTTGTAAAAAAATAGAACCTGGACAGAAATAATGAATGTAATTGTTTAGGAAAATTTCTTTGCAGAACAGGCAGAGGTGCTGCACAATGATTCCTATGGAATCATTATTGATTGATCCCCTAAGGGGATGTTTCTCTTGAATTGCACCTCTCAGTCTGCGTGCCATGGCCACATTATGTTCAGCTTGCCTGAACAAAATGGTAGGATGGTAGAAATGATAAGAAGTATGGCAAGAGTTCCTATTTTCTGGAACCATGGTGGTATAGTTACGCCTCAACCTCAAATGATATGGCCTGCTGTAGGAGCTAAACATAAGGATTTGTGGAAACCATTAATACCTCTTAATAAGATCAAAATTTGTGAAAGAATGAAAAAGCATATATTGCAAAATTAAAAGAACAAATATTTAAAGCATCCCAGGCACACCTGACCTTAATGTCAGGAACCGGAGTGCTTAAAGGAGCTGCAGACAGATTAGCAGCTGGTAACCCATTAAAATGGATCAAAACACTTGGAAGCTCTGTGATTTCAATAATGGTTGTGCTTTTAATCTGTGTTGTTTTTGTTTGTATAGTCTGTAGATGTGGATCCTGACTCCTGCAAGAAGTAGCTCACCATGACAAAGCTGCCTTTGCTTTTATCAATTTGAAAATTAAAGAAGGGAGCATGTTGAGAACAAGCCCCCCACAAATCTGGCCATAAACTGGACCCAAAACTGGCCATAAACAAAATCTCTCCAGCACTGATATGTGCATGATGGCCATAAAGCCAACACTGGAAAGTTATAGGTTTATGGGAATGAGGGCAAGGAACACCTTGCCTGCCCAGTGCAGAAAACCACTTAAAGGCATTGTTAAACACAAACAATAGCATTCATGATCTGTGCCTTAAGGACATGATCCTGCTGCAGTTAACTAGCTCAACCTATTCCTTCAATTTGGCCCATCCTTTCATTACCCATAAGGGATACTTTTTGTTAATTCGATATCTATAGAAATAATGCTAATGACTGGCTTGCTGTTAATAAATATGTGAGTAAATATCTGTTTGAGGCTCTCAGCTCTGAAGGCTGTGAGGCCTCTGATTTCCCACTTCACACCTCTTTATTTCTGTGTGTGTGTTTAATTCCACTACTGCCACTGGGTTAGGGTCTCACCAACTGAGCTGGTCTCAGCATGATTGTTAACAGAGAGTAGTGAAAACTTACACAGCCAGAGAGGACCTCAAAGAAACTCCCTTAGTAAATGTAGAAATGGAGCTTTTTCCTAAAACAAGAAACACCAAAGTTAGGGTATGCAGTAGTCCCTTTGAATTATATTACTGAGAATATGCCTCTCTTACCAGGCACCAGAGTTCAAATCACTGAGTTACTTGCCCTTGTGAGAACACTCAAATGAAGCAAAAAAAGAAAAAAGAAATGTTTATAATATTTATACTGGTTTTAAATATGCTTTTCTGATCATCTATGACCATGCCACTTTGTGGAAAGAAATACATTTTCTGACAGTCACTCATTAAGTATCATCAGGATATACATAGATTTTTCTCCTGTTTTTCTTTCATGGAAAGTAGTAGTACTACATTGTAGAAGACACAAGTAGGGGACTGATAAAGCAGCCAAGAAAAATAGATTGAGAAACCAGAGAGCCAAACAAACAAACAACAACAACAACAAAAAAAACAATTTTGCAATATACTGGAAGTCTCTCTTGT
The DNA here is from genome assembly GCF_000001405.40 of Homo sapiens. Taxonomy (NCBI): domain Eukaryota; kingdom Metazoa; phylum Chordata; class Mammalia; order Primates; family Hominidae; genus Homo; species Homo sapiens. The sequence goes on along the minus strand of NC_000024.10, from coordinate 21,784,203 downwards.
CTTAGAAAGCTTCATTAGAGAAATAAAGCCTCAGTATTCCCATGCAAAGATAGAATGGACCACTTTTGAAAGATACATTTTTCAGCACTCTAAATATTTATAATTGCATTATGAGCCTTCAGCCAGTGAAATGTTTTTAATGTCCTCCACCAAGTTTTGACTTATAAAACAACAAGAAAAAAAAACTACTGAAAAGAGTCAAACAGATTCTTAATACTTTTGAAACCTGCCTTAAAAATAATCTTCTTGGGCCAGGTGCAGTGGTTCATGCCTGTAACCCCAGCACTTTGGGAAGCCAAGGCGGGCAGATCACAAGGGCTGGAGATTGAGACCATCCTGGCTAACATGGTGAAAACTCATGTCTACTAAAAATACAAAAAAAAAAAAAAAAATAGCTGGGCATGGTAGTATGTACCTGTAGTCCCAGTTATTCAGGAGGCTGAGGTAGGAGAATCACTTGAACCCAGGAGGCAGGAGTTGCAGTGAGCCCAGTTTGCATGACCGCACTCCAGCCTGGCAGACAGAGCATGACTTCATCTCAAAAATAATAATAATCTCAAAAGACAGTTTCTATCCCTGCTGCTCAATATCTGAAAAGCTATCTAGGGAAAGATTGAGAGAAGAACTTCATTTATATGACAGATAAAGTGTGCATTTATTACCTCCTGATATGTATTAAAAACCCACAAAATATTGCAGACTTGTGGTGAGTAAAGAATGTCACTTGCTAACAGGCCCAGGATTTTCATGTTTTTGGACCTCAAGAAGAGTAAAGTTTGCCCAACTCATAGGTATTTGAAAGTAAAACCCATAGTTGTTCTTGGCTTTAAGAGTGCTTATCAGAGTTTCCTCCTGAAGAACAGTTTCGTAAAAGCCAATTTAGAGAGACTATTTAAAAATAATTATTTTTGCTGCACTTTATGCAAATACTTAGGTTAAATATAAAATTATAGTTCATTTTACTATTTTCAACTCAGGCCTAACATACTTTGTTTATTTACAGTAATAAGAAATGAAGAGAGAAAAATTATGTTTAAATCTTTTCTTTTTTCTTTTTTTTGCGATGAAGTTTCACTCTTGTTTACCAGACTGGAGGGCCAATGGCACTATCTCGGCTCACCACAACCTCTGCCTCTTGAGTTCACATGATTCTCATGACTCAGCCTCCCAAGTAGCTGGGATTACAGGCATGTGACACCATGCCTGGATAACTTTGTATTTTTAGTAGAGACGGTGTTTCTATGTGTTGGTCAGGCTGATCTTGATCTTGAAGTGCTGGGATTACAGGTGTGAGCTACCTCAACTAGCCTACATGTTTCAAATCTTATCATATGTTTGCCATTATATTCTCATCTCATTAGTTGTCTTTAGCATTTGCCTATATTTTAGGCTATCCCTGTTGATCCCTGTGAGCCAGCCAGAAATCTCTAGCTGCAGCTAGGTTGAAAATATAAAAATATTAATATTGCAAAATATGTAAACATATATTTGTTATGGGCAATTACCCTACAAAGCTTGCCAGGTAATGAGAGTATATAGTTGACTCATAATTCAGGGGGTTTTTTGTTTTGGGGGACAAGACCAAGGAAGCTAAGCCAAGCCAAGCCCCATGCACCCAAAACTTGTTAAGCATATCTATAGCTATTAGTTATAAGGGCATGTCAGCAGCCTCAGAATTTTTAAGCTATCCTTTTCCTCACCTCGTCTCATTTTAACACTTTATATTTTGATAACCAAGATTGTTTCATCTCACATAGAGGCAATCAAACAAATTGTACTGCAAACGAAACCACTTATGTAAACACCGTGGTTTTGAAAAACCTTACCCTAACCTCAGTGTGAACTCCAGCTGTTGTATTTCCTTACAAGATGACCCTTCCTAGCAAAAAGTAGCTAGAAAGATCAATCCTCAATCTCCCTAACAGCAATTAGTGTTTTCACACCTGCAGGGGACAATGAGAGAGAAACTTAGTAGGTGTCATTGGTAAAACTTCTTTAAACAGAGATGCAGCCTAGAAATGTACAGCGTTTCCAATGTACAATCTTCCGTTGCCTTGGTAGATAACCCAGATCTTTGTAAGTATTGTAAAACTGTCTCTGAGCTTTGGCCATCATAGAAAGCAGGCATACAAAAGATAATGCCCCAAAGTCAGAGACACAAACCCTTGGTAAACCCTTAAATTCTACTTCTAAATGCCCTACCCGCACCTCTTTTATAGGCTTTCTAATGTCCATGTCATCAGTTTCTCTCCCTGTTCCACCCTGTAAACCATCAATTTCAATGTGGGCCCTGTAGAAAATGCCAAAAAAACGTGGTACTACTAGATTTCAAGTTCTCTTTTCATTGCAGGGCCTTAGAAAAATAAATGTAAATCTAGTCGAGTTCTCTGATGACTCTAATAGATATATAGAGGCATTCCAAAATCTAACACAGGTATTTCATTGTATGTGGAGACATGCTACGTTAATCCTAAACCAAAGCTGCAGAAAAATTGGCAGCTTTACTAGCAGCAAAAGCATTTGAAGATGAACAACATATTTACTATACCCAGCCTAAAAGTATAAAGGGAAAGAAATCTAGAAAAACGGATGGTGAAAGACAAAACTAAGGTGAACAGATAGCATAATCTTTATTCCCAACAGGAAAAAAGACAGTGCTCTTTGAAAACATAATTGGAATCCCCGTCATTTGATAGAGGAGTGGAAAAGAATAAAAATTTAGAATGCATGTACAGGAATGCTAGTAAAAGAACAGTGCCAAACCTCTTAATTACTCTAAGATAAACATAATAGATTAAAACTTGATGAGAATCCCTCAATCTTTATGGAAAGGCTGAGAGAGGGTGAGTAAAACGCACCTCTGTATTTTCTGACTCAGTTGAGCACCAGTTAATCTTAAGAAAGAAGTTTATTTTTCAGGCAGTCTTGATTTAAAAAAAAAAAAAGCTACAAAGCAGGTCACATGACCGGATAATGTACTAGTTTTAGCAGTGCAACAAGATGTAACAATTCTTTTTTGTTTTAGATATTGCTCAGAGCAACACATACACATATGTACTACTCAGTATATGTAAGTGTATATATACAGTCTGGTTTGTGTATATAGATATATGTATAAATACACATAGCATGTGTGTGTGTATATATATATATGTATATGCACACACACATATACACACACACACACACCTACACAGACACACAATTTAGAAGATTAAGGAGCATGAACACATGGGTAAAGTTTGAGGAAAACTTTAATATGCAAAAGAAGAGATCATTTCACCAGCAGAAATATGGGCCCACATGAGTTGCAAACTATGAGGCAAGTGTTTAAAATTTTTATAAACTGAAAAGAGAAAGGGATGTTCTTAGTTTGTCAGCTATCTTATACAATGTGTCTTAGCCTTGGTCTTGGACCAGTAAGAAAGCATAGCCTAAGACCTTGGTCTGGGACCAATAGGAGGCTGAAGTGATAATTCATAGAGACTGCTCAGGATAGCCCAAGAAGACTTAAAAATGCAAATGAAAGACTGGCTTGTGAGTTTGGCCCAGGATCAGTCAGGAGCTTAAGTGATAATTCTTAGAAGCTGGACTTATTGTCTGAACAATAACAACAACAAATAGAGCGAATGAGAACCCACTGAAGCTTGCTGAATTTATGCCTGTGAAAGGAGAATAAAATTTTCTCATTGTGGGTGTGGGGCACTGATTATACAAAGGACAAAAATATTCTATGCCACACCTCTTTCTTTCATCTGTGTAAGCCTGAGTTTTGTGCAAGTTTTTTTTTTTTTTTTCCAGAATGGACTGGAGGTTCTTCCGTCTGTGTAGCTGCAGGAATATGTTCAGGCAGTAGCCACTGTGTTAGGTCCTGTATCAGTGGTTTCAGCTTAATTTCTTTTAAGGCTGATTGTTGTGTTATGTTTGGTTGAGGCACTGACATATCTGCTTGGGGCTCTCTGGAAACCCTTGCCTTGCTTTTTACCTAAGAGAAGCTAGCTAACTTTTCTCAGTCTCCCCTCAGAAATAAAGAACCTAACTGCTTTAGGGAGATTAAGTGTTGATCTTTCTGGCTACTCTCTGCTGCAGAGGGGTGTTTGTAAAAAACAGCAGTTAGAATTTATTTCAGACATTGTTTCAGAGTCCTCAGAAGATAGGTGATTTTATGTGTGGTCTTACTTGCATTATTACTATTTGGAGTTGACAGCCTCAAGGAAAAAAAATAGAGTTACTAAAGGACATGTATTGTAACAAGACAAGTTGGCTAAGGACAGCTTAAGTGTCCCAAGCCTGGTGACACACCCTTATAACTGATGGCTACAGTTATGCCTGCTAAGATTTAGGTATATGGAACTCAGCTTTAATTAAAAAAATACAAACAAGCCTCTGTATTATGGGAACCATATTTATTTTCATCAACTGGCAGGATTTGTAGGATTTTTGCCAAGAATTATATATAATATTGTAACAAATTTTTAAATTACTCATTACTTTCTGTTTACTTTGATCTAAAGTCAAAGATTATTAATTGGCTCATGGGATTCAGCAGGGTTAGTTTAAAATGTAGGCAACAACTTAAAAACAACTTATGAGAACTTATGAGACTATGCATTAATGACAGAAGTACAATAAGTTTTGAAACATATTATTTCTCTTCAGTTCATATTTTTGTAAAAAAATATCATGATAGAACTAAATTGTTTGGAAAATAGATGTCAGTCTTCCACTTGGCCTAGTTTTATAAAGTGCAGGCAAGAATAATTACCTTTACATTTTTTTTTCAATTGGCTTTCATGGAACTCCGTTCTGCAAGGAATCTCAGGAAGTTTTAAAGCTGAGACCAGCCATGAGCTTGTACCCTTAAATACTGAGCTGGGTAAACTCCTCTCTTATTGAGTTACCAAAAGCATGGGGTTGTTTTGAGGCTTTTGAGAAAGTGATATTCTCTACCTACCACAGGTTCAGAACCCTGAATGGGAATGGTGTAGACAAGGTTTAAAGCCATTTTTTTCCCTAAGGGACTTTACGTTGTTTATTGAAGTCAAGCTTTATTCTTTTTTTTTTCTTTCCAGAGGAAGTCTTGCTCTTGTCACCTAGGCTGGAATGCAATGGTGTGATCTCAGCTCACTGCAACCTCTGCCTCTCAGGTTCAAGTGATTATCCTGCCTCAGCCTCCCAAGTAGACGGGGTTACATGTGCTCACCACCACACCAGGCTAATTTTTTTTTTTTTGTATTTTTAGTAGAGATGGGGTTTCACCATGTTGGTCAGGCTGGTCTTGAACTACTGACCTCAGGCAATCCACCCCCGCCTTGGCCTCCCAAAGTGCTGGGATTACAGGTGTGAGCCACCATGCCCTGCCTCAAGCTTTATTCTTTAAAGAGAAACATATCCTTTCAGTCAAAGCCTCAGTAAAATAACCAGTTTTTTTCCAGTTTTGTTTTGTTAAAACAAATTTTTTTTTGCACTGATGCAAACAACTATATTGCTGTAAGTTAAGAAAAGCAAAAATTAGTTACCAAGTATTAGAGAAAACAGGGAGGGAAAAATAAAATATTTTTATATTTTTTACAATAGTATACTTTAATCAGTTGTTGAACACTGTTGCCTGCACAAAAAAGTTCCCTTAACCCTGAAAAACAAAATACACAGAAATATTTGAAGTCAATGTTGAAAAAATGGCTTCAGTGTTTTTAGTCCATTTTCTTAAGCTTTTCATGAGTTTTGTTAATATCTAATTATAAACCTGCATTTGAGAGCAGCTGTTAAAGTCCTACAGCTAATTATAAACCATTTTTAGAAAAGGATTAAAACAATTGTCTGTAAATGACAGAATGCCTAAAGTGGTTACAGACACTCGTTGACAAAAAATGGCTATTTTTATGGTTTACAATGGCTAAACATAATAATTTTGATTAAGTTTGATAGCCTTTTTAGACCTTAGAACTTTGACACCGCATATGGCTACAAAACTTATGTTAATATTATTTACTAAAATGTAACCTGAAGAAAATTAAAATTAGCTTGGTAACCACATGTATTTAAACAACCTAAATGCATAAGGTTGTTAAATACTTTTAAAAATACATGTTAAAGACGTGTTTGAAATGGGAGCCCTCTGTAGCATTTAAAATCGAGGACTCAGAAAGGACAACTCTGTAACAAAAATTTGTTTTTGAAATGCCTGCCAAATATGTACGAAATTTAAAACATTTACTGTTATAAAATATAAAGATTATCATAAGTCATTTGTTTTGCCAAAATAAATTTAAAAATTTGAAGTGACAAAAAGCTACTGTTATTAGCCTTTATATTACATAAAAATCTTGTTCTAGAGTGGAAACAGATTTTACTGTTGCATTAGTCCACTATTAAATTTACCGCTATTCTTTTTTTTTTCCTTTGTTTGTTTGAGACAGAGGCTCACTCTATCACCCAGCTTGGGGTGGCACAGTCTCAGCTCACTGCAAGCTCCACCTCCCAGGTTCAGGCCATTCTCCTTCATCAGCCTCCATCTCTTGACCTCATGATCTGCCTGCCTCAGCCTCCCAAAGTGCTGGGATTACAGGCGTGAGCCACTGTGCCAGTCCAATTTACTGCTATTTTTAAATTAAACCTTATAGACAAATTTATCTTAATCAGTTTAACAACGAGGTGAGGTTTTCATAAACTTTTTAAAACCCTTTAACAACTCTTTACACATTTTGCTAAAGAGCAGATTAGCATCTCAAGAAAACCGCGCTGCACTTTTATTTCAATGCTTCACTTATAGAGTAACCATATAATATATCCCTTTTTATTTAATGTGTTCAGACAGCATTTTCTTTTGCAAGATTAACATGTACAGTTGTTCTTCCATCTGCTTAAATCTTTAGCTTTATGTGATTTGATTTAAGAGAAGTCTTTATCTCTAAGATAAATGAGCATTTACATGCCATTTTATAAATTTTACTATATTTTACTTTTCTTATACACCTTACATGAAAATTTAATTTTAGTAGTCTCAATCACATGTTATAATGGTAACATTTTGTAATTTTTCACTTGAATGTAAAACATGGTAAGTTGTTTTAATTGTGTGCTAAGTGCAGATAAAGGCTGACTCTCTCAGCTTACTTAGAGGTGTGATTACTTTTATATGTCCCCAGGCTATACCAATAGTGAAGCAGGCAAGCCTATGGTTTTCAAAGGACAAAGAAGTAGTTTACATCCTTCAAACAATTAGGAAACTTACATTTTTTACCTGCATAATATAGACCACATATTAACATCTGGAAGACATTTGCATTTTATCAATAATCTTGGAGGCTGTTTTTTTTTTTCAAACAGAGCCTCGCTGTGTTGCCAGGCTGGAGTGCAGTGGCATGATCTCAGCTCATTGCACTGCCTCAGCCTCCCAAGTAGCTAGAATTACAGGTGCCAACCACCATGCCTAGCTAATTTTTGTATTTTTAGGAGAGACAGGATTTCACCACCTTGGCCAGTCTGGACTTGAACTCCTGACCTCGTGATCCACCTGCCTTGGCCTCCTGAAGTTCTTTGATTACAGGTATGAGCCACCATGCCTGGCAGAGGGTGCTTTATTTTTAAAAAGTTAAAGTCACATGAACTGAAAGCTACCACAGCCTTTATTTTTCCTTTTCATAATATTTTGGTCAAGTGGCTATCTTTTCTTAAGCTAATGAATTAGAGATCTTTTAATAAAAATAATGTATACATAACCAAACAAACCAACAGAAAATATACTAGTTATACAATTTTTTGTTTTCCATTTTTCTCATCAGATTATTCACCTATGGAGGGGTGTGTGTGTGTGTGTGTGTGTGTGTGTTTTGAGATGGAGTCTTGCTCTGTCACTGAGGCTGGAGTACAATGGCAGAATCTTGGCTCATTGCAACCTCTGCCTCCTGGGCTCAATTAATTTTCCTGCCTCAGCCTCCCAAGTAGCTGAGACTACAGGCACCCACCCAGATAATTTTTGTATTTTTAGTACAGATGGGGTTTCACCATGTTGCCCAGCCTGGTCTTGAACTCCTGACCTTAAGTGATCTACTTGCCTTAGGATCCCAAAGTACTGGGGGTGAGGCCTTTTAAGGACAAGGTTACTAATGCAGTTATCAGGGCTTAATAAACAAGCATAGCTTTAAGAAAAACACAGATTATGAGAGGGGCTTATTCACCTCTTATTCCAGGGTCTTTATAAACTAAGAAGGGGAAGGAATGTGCTTATTCTGCAGGCTGTCTTGGAGAATGTGTGACTCACCTTGGCTTGGGAATTTGGCTTGAGATCAATCAGAAACCTTTCCCCAAAATGTTGGTCCAGTAGCAATCAGAGCTGATGTGATGATTACTGGAGGCTGTTCAGCTTGTCATAAAATCTATACGCAGCTAAAATGAAAGTTTGGCCCACAACTTTAAAGCAGCACAAATCAAGGGACGAAATACTTAATAGAAGACAAATCAGAATTAAGAAACAAACAAACAAACAAGCAAACAACAACAACAACAACAACAAAATAGTGACTGCCCGGAAACCACTGGATCCCACTGTGTTAATGTCCACAAACAGAAGAAATTCTTTTTATGGAGCCCATTGATTATGCAAAAGTCAAAGTCATTTTTATGTCAGGCCTAGTTCCCTTAGACGTGTGAGCCAGAGTTTCTGCAAGTTTTTATTTAAGTGGGTGAAAGATTCTCCTATCTTTGGAGCCATGGGTTTATCTGCAATAATAACTCCATGTACTAATTTTTGTTGGTGCCTGCAGCTTATTTTTCAAGACTGGTTTTACGTGTTGTTGAAAATAAGGCACTGACCCATTAGCTGGGATTTTATGGGAAACTTTCTTTTGCTGTTTATCTAGAGCAAATCAGCTAAATTCCTTCACTGTATGAATAAGTAAGGCCTGGATTGGAGAGGAGAACAAAATGATTCATTGCAATGTTTAGAAGAAAGTTTGCTTTTTTTTTTCCTCTAGCCACCCAAATTACTTGGGACTCCTAAATAGCAATGGTAGTTAGAGCCATTGAAGCTCAAAAATTGAGAACCAGCACAGATGAGTTCTGCCTGATCATCTGAAGACTGGTCCTGGATATGGTGACCTATGTCTCTAAACAAAGGGAGTCTTTCAGTGGTCTCCATCAAAAGCTGGACAGGGTTAAGACAGCTTCTTCCAAATGCCTGGACAAGGCTTTGTCAAGTGTTCCAGCTTGCCACACTGGTAGTAATTTGCAAGTGTATTTAGGGATTATAGATCAACTGTCCTATAAAGTGTCCACTAATGCCTCTTTTGTTCTCTTGTGCCTCTACTCATTTTCCTGGCCTCTTTCTCCTGTTTCTCATTGTGGCATACGGAGGAAGTAAATCCAAGAAGGTTTTCCATTGTACTCTCTGATTCTACAGACTACTTTGTAGTTTTCCCTAAAATTAACAGCTGCTTGACAAATAACTTTATCTTTTAAGATTATCTGTGTCTCAGTTGAATTAGAGAAATAAAAAGATGTGTTTCACTAAAGTTTTCTCAAACTTTCCAAAAAGGATGATAAATTTTTATCTTGTTTCTGATTCAACAAGAATGTTTTAGAGTAATTAAAATGTTTATTTCTGTTATTTGCAAGTCTTTTAATATGCACATTAAAAAGTGTTTTTTTTTTTTTTTCATTTACCTTAGCACCACTAGGGCTCCAATTCAGATTTTCAAAAATCATTGTTTCTCTTCCAATTGGAAATGGGGTCACAGTTTCTATTTTACTATTTTGTTTACTCTTGACTTTTTTTTTTAATTTGACTGGTTGCAGAATACTTCTTGTTCATTTCCAAATCTCTCTACTGCCTTTAGCACTGCCTGTTTCTTGACAAAAGTTAGGATATAGCTTTAAAGTAGTGTAGCACTACTACACATAAGATGAAACACTTGGGTTGATTTTTAGAAGCCTCATATACTTATTAAGGTCATCAGATAACTTCCTTAAGTCTTTTTTATTTAATTTATTTAAAGTTCTTTTGTGAGAAAAAAAAATTTGAACGTTAGTAGCATGAAGTTCATTGAGCATTTTCTGCCCCACTGAAGTTGTAAACTTTTTGGGTGACACAACTGAAGAAACTGATAATATGGGTGCTGGGGGTCTTTTATAAGCGAGGCAGATAGAGCACCCAAAAGTTGCATTTGAGAATTCCTCAAAAGTTTATAAATCTGCCATTTGTAGACTTGCTTTCAATGGTTACCAAGAAATCAGGTTCATTTTACAAAGCTTACAAAGATCTCAGTTGTCTGGAATAGCAAGTGAAGATGTTGTCATTGGATACCATTGAAATTATGTTTTTTCCAAGAAGTTCAGAACTCTTGCTTATAAAATGTCCAAGTCTTTGTGCAAAATGATATAAGCCACTTTTTTTCTCCAGAGTCTCAGAGTCAAAGAAGTTCTCATGTTAAAAAATAAACAGGGGAGTATAGACTGCATGCAGTTTTTTACCAGGTAGAAATAGAGAGGATATTTTCTAAACCCTTCAGTTGTAGTTGTGGAGACCTGGTATTTAAATATCCCAATTTAATTATTTTTGAAAGTTTCACTCTTCTACTAGGTAATTTTAGCTTATATGGACACCATCATTCTAACGGCTTCAGGACAAAGCTTTGTCTCCCCTTAGTTAAAACCAATGTTAATCCAGAGGTCTGGCCACATCAAGGAAAAATTTGCAGAGCTGCAACTGCTATACTTGTCCAGATTAGCCTTAAGAGTTTTATTTTATTTTTTTACCCTAGCGTTAGGCAATATCTTTTATAGACAAAAGGTAGAAAATGGCTGCCATCAGAGATAACCTAAAGGCCAAATACTTCCTTAAACTCTGCAACGTCTTAACAACACCCAAATATTAGAGGTACAGAAACACAGTGAAGAATGGAGGCTGGATCAGAACCTCTGTCTCATTAATAAGGCTGTTGAAAACCCAAAACATTAGTAAAGGAGAGAATTAATCCCATCTCCTTCTTTCCCATTCCCAAAACACTCAAACATCTAAAAGGATCATTGGACATTATAAGTTTTTGAGGATGATGGATACCAAGGTTTGGTGAAACAGCTATTTCTTTATATTATCTTATAAAAGAATCTCAAGCAGCTTCGGCTTTCTTCCTGACATAGGAAACTAAAACTCAAATACCTTAACCAGATCAAACAAACCTGACAAAAAGCACTGGCCCTCAGTGTACCCACAAATAAGTCATTGCATCTTTATGTCTTATAAAAGAGAAGGGATAGCTTAGGAGTTTTAACTCAAGCTTGAGATTTGGCCCAGCAACCACTAAGTTACATAAACATAGAGCTTGACTGGGTGGCTAAAGCATAGACAAGTTGCCTCCAAGCAGTTGTAGTGGTGGCCTTGCATGTACTGCAAGCCAGTAAGTTGAGCATGGGGAATGTTCTAACTGATTACACCGCACGTAATGTAGGGTGTCCTCTAAAGGAAGTCTCTGGATAACAGATAATCACCTTGTCAAAGATCAAACTTTGCTTCTAAGGAATCTACAGTTCCATTAAAAAACCCATAACCTATTCCCTTTCCTTTAAGAAGTAACCTGAACAACCTGAACATGACTGTAAACAGGTAGTAGTGAAAATCTGCGCAGCCAGAAAGAACCTAAAACTAATTTCTTTAGAAAAATTGTCTGAACTTTCTTTAGAGGGAAAAGTTATTTTGTAAAACAAAATACCTCTAAGGCAGTGTGTGCAATATTCACCCTGATTTATATTCTTGACAGCATGCCTCTCTGACAAAGCACAAGACTTATTAGCTATGTTCATTGTCTTTTAACCATTTAGAGAAAAAGGCAGTGGACACATACTGATTCTAGGTATGCTTCTTCTGGCTCTCTATGCCCATGCCACTATTTAGGAAAAAAAAAAGACATTTCCTGACTGCTAATGGGTCTTACATTAAATATCACCAGGAAATAGATTAGTGTCCTCAGTTTTTCTTTTTTCTTCTTTCTTTCTGGGAAGTAGCAGTAATATATTACAGAGGACACCAGAAAATGATTAATAAAATAGCCAAAAGCAAAAAAATAGGTTGCCAAGTCAGTAGCAAAAAGAGCCCAAGTTCCCAGAATATTTAAAGCCTTTCTTATTTGGGAAAGCATTATAGAAGAAATAAAGCCTCAGTATCTCCCTGAAAAGATAGAATGGGCTACTTCTGGAGAATCAATTTTTCAGACTGTTGTATGGTTACAAATGAAAGGCAGAAAACCCCACTTGTCAGCATCCAGTCAGTGGAAAGTTCTTAATGTCCTTCAGCAAACTTTTCACTTTACAAAGAACATAACTTATCAACTGATCCAGAGAATGTTCTCCAGTAAAAATCTACTGAAAATAGTCAAACAGTTTGTAAATGCATGTGAAATATACCTTAAAAATAATCCCCCCAACAGATAGCTTCTCCTCCCTCAAGCTCAAAAAAAAATGGAAAGAAACCTAGGGGAAGGTTGGCAGATAGACTTTACCCATACACCCAAAACATAGAAAACCCAGTATCTGCTGGTATAGGTAGACAGTATCCCTAACTGTATGGAGGCATTTTTATGTAGAAGAGAAAAATCCTTTGAGGTAGTAAAAGAAATATTTTAAAAAATAATTCTTTGCTCTGGCCTCCCTCAGTGCCTCCAAAACAACAATGGCTCCTCATTTAAAGCAACCATTACCCAGTGAATTTCAAGAGCTCTGGGCATAGAATATAATCTTCATTGTGCCTGGAGACCACAGTCTTCAGAAAAGGGGAAGAAAATAAATTATATCATCAAGAGATTCCTCAGGAAGCTTCCTCAAGAAACTCACCTCTTTTCAATTACTCTTTTTCATGGCCTTAGTGACAGTGAAGTACATCGCTACAAAGCTGGCTTTGAACTACTTTAAATTTATTATGTATGACCTTCTCTTAACATTGATATTTTAGTAGATGAGTGACTTCTGAATTTTTTAAACATATAAACTCCCTGACCCCACTTTCAAGAGGAATGAAAACATCATCAGAAGTACAACCCCAAAAATCCAAATCCCCCTGTATTCAACCCAGAAGAGTTGGTACTGGGGTAGACTCCTCCTCTTTCTCTCCTGTCCCTACACCCCAGTTGGGAGGGACCTAACACTATTCTTCTCCTTACTCCCTCAGCTGTGAAGATGGTGGAAATTGACTCGTATTTATTTCACTCGAGTGAAAGCCTGGAAACCAGTGAAAGCAGTCCCTGACAGTCTAGAAGTATTATAATAAAAATCAGATAAAAATTATCTAATACACAATACTTATAGAAATTACATTTCTTACTTTACCTCTTGCAGTGGGGTTATAAACTGAAGCACCTTCTGAGTAAAGCATCAAACAGAGAGTCTCAATTACCATAATATTTTACTTAATCATTATCATTATAGCAAAAATAGTAGTGACAAATAAAAAATAAACATGAAGATTTTGTTACTGTCAGGTTTACTAACATTCACTGTTAGACGTAGCACTGACATGCACCCCAAGGTCCCTACAATATTAGCCATTGCCCATCTATACAAGAAGACAAACTTCTAGTTTTGCCTTGAAAAATTTTATCAGATTTAAAACAGACGCTTTAATTATATGAACTCAATATATTAGTATTCTATTGGTTAGTTTCACCTTTAACAATTAAGCACTTGAGAGGGATGAATGGAATCTTGTATGGAATCACTTTTAACTCCATCCAGAAAGACATATTTCTCGAATGTAAGACTCAAACTCTTAGGCTAGGTGAAGTTGATAGAATAATAGCAAACAACTTTCTCTGCTTTAGAGGCAAAAGGAACCACACTTGGAGAATCTCAAATATGGCAACGCCATCTTGTAATTGCTGAGAGTGTGGAGATCTGGAGAGTAAAAGTGCAGGTGACCTCAAACCTTGGGAAAGACTATGAAAAAACATTAACAATCTAACCAGACTTTTCCTTTGGTATTTCTAGTAGAAATTATTACCCATAGGCAGAAATGCTGCCTCTTTCCAACATTATTATCAGATAATAAATAATACTTGTTTCCAACCAAATGTGCCCACAGATGGAATCCTGAACGCTTGTATAATATTTTATAATGGTGGCATCCTACATGTATGCAGGAGAACTGGAAACATCTAAACTAATAACCCCTGTAATGAGGATTACCAAAGATACTGGGCAGAACATGCTGTGTCTCTGATTTTCTGAAACTCCACCTGCCAAAAAGATTATTCCAAACCAGCAGGCAGAATTCCAAACAACACACTGAGTAACTGTACTGAATATGGACATTACACCTCCTCTTAGACATAGGAGGAGTAAACTTACAAGGTACAAACTAAATCTAGCAAGAACCCTCACAAATGACAACTTAGAACCATCTGTTTAGGAAATGGGGCTTTACCTTCTCTGTGGCCCCTGGCTACATTTAATCCTCCCTAGACACTAAACGGGAACAGGTACTATAATAATAGTGACCCTGGTATGTTATTTTTATATTTCACCAAAATGACACCATCATCTGGTGACATTTTCAGTCGAGACTCTTTTTCAGAGTAGATTCTCTTGCACACACAAAAATAAATCTCTTGTCTCTATGCCGTCACATGGAGTTTTGAGGGAGAGAATTGAGGAAAATATGCACATTATAATCCTATACTGTGAAAATTAAAATTGAAACATGCAAGATCAGGAGGCCTATTTGATTTCTCTGTATACTTTTCTTGAAACACTAGCCATTAGTATTTTCATCATAATGCAACAAGGGTGGAAGTCAACTGTAGAAGCCACAGATGCCCAATGCCAATTGGTAAATCTCCTAGCCTCAGAGATAATGAAGAATAATTAAACTCTGGATGCCTTTTTGGCCTGAGTAGAGAATGCCTATGCACTATTCAATGAGACATGCTGCTTCTGAATCAGCACTTTTAGTCAGGTAAAAATATAAAGAAATAAATACAAGTGCTAAATGACCTACTTAAAATCGTCAGTGGACTGAGAGAAAGTGAGGACTCTGTTCCCGTTGGCTACGATCTTTTCTTAATAGATTTAAGTCTTCTCTTTAGACCTAACTAGCTTCTTTGCTAAGACCTCTTTTCCTTGTATATGTGGTGTTAATGTTTGGACCATCTATACTCAATGGTATAACCAGAATTATGTCTTCTCATCTAGTGGCTATCAAGCTCCAAATGTTGATGTGTGGATTCACTTATCTACTGAGGACACTTATACCAGCCCCAGAAGAGACCCTAACTTCTGTAACTTAGATAATACTTATCTTTAGAAAAAAGGAACCAGAAATATTGTCACTCCATTTTTTTTTAATTGAGATAAAGTCTCGCCATGTCACCCATGCTGGAGTACAATGACATGATCTCACCTCACTGCAACCTCTGCCTCCTGGGTTCAAGCAATTCTCCTGCCCCAGCCTCCGGGGTAGCTAAGATTATAGGTGTGTGTACCACACCTGGCTAATTTTTTGTACCTTTAGTAGAGAAGGGGTTTCACCATGTTGGCCAGGCTGGTCTCAAACTCCTTAGCTCATGATCCACCCTCCTCAGCCTCCCAAAGTGATCGGATTACAGGCATAAGGCACTGCACCCAGCCCATCACTCCACTTTCCTAACAGCAGTTAGTGTCTCCATTCCTGAGAGAGAAAATAAGAGAGAAATGTTAAGCAGTTGTGGTGGATTATTGGTAAAATATCTGGAAGCAGAGAAAAAGCCTGATAAAATCAAGCTGCAGGCACTGATAAGAAAACTGGATCAAACATTGGCCCATTTATATGTTTTGTTTGCTTGTTTGTTTGTTTGTTTTTAAAAAAGGCCAAACATAGACACACCTTTCTTGTTTCTAAGAAAAGCCTGCAAGTACTCTGGTGAGAGAGCAAGGTTCGACATAAAAATTCCTGTGTTCTTTGTGCAGACAGTAGGCTTCCAGGAAAGAATCTATTCTTTGTCTGTGGGCATGTACACAGTTGGCTTCAGTGGGTTATGCTGGGCACTTTTCTTTCTATTTTTGAACATGCTTTTCACTGGGAGCTGAGTTTCTATGAATCATCACTTCAGCCTCTGATTGGTCTCAGGCTAAGATCTCAGGCCAAGGTTTAACTTTACCTCCTTTTTGGCCCTGGGCCAAGGTGCCAGGCAAATCTGAGTGGTCTCCATGAATAATCATTTCAGCTCCCGGTTAGTTCTGGGTCAAACTCTGAGAAAATCTTAGTCATTCTGTTTCAAACCAGTCATCACATTTCTTCTCCTCTGAGCTTATACAAACCTCCAACCCTGCCTCATAGTGGGTAATCTACCTGGGCCCCACTCTCCACTGCAGAGAGCTTATTAAACTTTTACTCAAATGATACCCTTTGTGTTCAAGATTTTTAATTTTTTGGATGTGAGAAAACAAAATAAAAACCTGGGTGATACCTTACAAAAAGAATCTTCTACATTGTGTGTGGTGAATTTGTGAGACTGCAAGAGTACTAAAATTTACTTTTTTTTCAGGAGTAAAGCCCTGTTTATCCTGGAGCTAGTAACATAATCATGCCCTTGTGCATGAGAATATAAATCTCTTTTGTTTCAGAGTCTCAGGATTAAAAGAATCCCAGTTCTTCAGTACACACTTGAGAAAAGTGCAATCTAAAGATGGTTTATTATCTGGAAAAGGAAAAAGCAGAGGCATTCCTCCCTCTTCTTCCTTCTTTTCAAAGTGACCCAGGGAGAAGAGAGTGATAGAAAGGGCATCCCGTTTCTCCACTTTCTTTACATCCTCTGGGTCACAGCAACCATTAGAGGTGGAGCCTATAAATGCAAGCATAATTTTCACCCATGTATCTGGAGGGGCTAGTCTACAGAAGTATCATCCTCACTTTTCTGAGGCTAGAACTCTTTACCCTTCTGCATTTTCTAGACTCACTTGGATCATAAATCCCCCAGGGTATTCTAAGTTTGTGGGAGAGACTATGCAGCAGTTGGATTTCAGTGAGATCTCTTAACGGAGAGAGTGTTTCTAACACCCATTTCTGCCTTCTGTAGCTATGGCTCTAGTCAAACTATGGATTTCCAAATAATGAGCCAATTGACTACTACCCATGTAATTCTCCTTTTTAGTTGTTAAAATGCCAATGTAACTCATTTTAGAAAAACTATCTTAATAACATAAAAATAGAATGACTATCTTTCCTCTAATGGGGACAGCAGTTAGGCCTGAATTTTTCACTTAAGGTTTTTTTTTTTTTTCTGGGTTATTGAAAAAGAATTTTTTCTGTGTGTAAGTGAGGCATGGAGCCTGATTTTGAAAAAAGGAACAAAGAAGAGAGAGGTATTAGGAGACTAGAGGGTTTGTACAAAGAGCTAATACAATGAACACATATGGAGAAATAAATCCCACTAGGTGGTGCTATAAGGTTTGAATGTTGGTAAAAACTGACTTCAATTTTTTTTTTTTCCAGGCAGAAGTTAGAAAAAGAGAATTAGGGCTTTGTAGGCTGTTCGCATAGTATGGCTTCTACTACAAGAAAACGATCTTAAAAACCATGGAATATTTTATTTCTCATTTTCCCCACAAGGCCTTTCTACTGGATCCCTGATGTTCATAAGTCAGAGGAAGGTTTTCACTTACCTCTGCTTCCAGCTGTCCCCCAGTGAGGTGATGGTGCTCAGTGTGTGCTGAGCAGAACGCAGGTCTCGTCCTCTAAAGCAGCCGATGTTGAACACGTGGGAGCCTCCATGGTCAGAAAAGGTGGCATCACCTGCACCCTGTGGTTGTCATGATGTGGGAACCATGCGCCCCCTCCTGGCTTACCTGTGGCACCAAATAAAGGCAGAGTTCAGATTGTTCAGTGCCATCATTTTGGAAATTCAAATGGAAATGGAACTTATTCTTGTGTGCGTGTGTGTGTGTGTGTGTGTGTGTGTGTGTGTGTTTTAATTATGAAAGAATCATTAACTGGAAACCACAGGAAATAAAATGAAAACGGTTGCAAACTTTCCAACTTATATAAAGTTTTCCTTAACATAGTCCTGAGATTTAAAATATAAAAATATACAAATTCTTAAAGAAAGTACAAAAAGAAAGGTATGTGACCTTGGGTTTGGTCATGAGTTTTAACATATGACATCAAAGTCGATTCATAACAGAAAAAATAATTAGCAATATAGACTTTCTCATATTAAAAGTTTATTCTCTGTGAAAAAATCTAGTTCAGGAAATAGACAAGCCATAGCCGAGAAGAAATATCTTCAAAATACAGAACTAAGTAATAACTTTAACTCAAAATATACAAAGATTCTTGAAGCTCAACAATAATATAGACTACCCAATTAAAATAGTAAAGAGCTGAGCAGATCACATCACCGATGAATATACACAGATGGCAAGCAAACAGAAACATGTACAACTTCATATATCATTAAGGGACTAAAAATTACCACAACGAGATGGTGTGGCCTATCTATATTTGTTAGAACTGCTAAACCGTTTTTAAACCATGGCAAATGAATTGCTGGAGGAAAAAACAGCATTTCATTCATGGCTGCTGGTACAGAAATTATGAAAAATACAGAAATTATGAAAAATTATGAGAAATCATGATGGTACAGAAATTATGAAAGATGGTGTTGAAAACCAGAATATGCCCCCCAATATATGACTATAGGAAACCAGAATATGCCACCACAAAATAAGCCTCTTGGGTATAAAAATCATTTTGAACCTATTATTTTAAGAAAATGCAGACACAAGAGAACTGAAAACAGAGCAGAACTTATCCATTTGTAAAGAAAATGCACATCTACTAAGGAAATCTTCATTTTAATGGAGTCTCCCTCTCAGTACCAATAAGAGAATGATGACTAAATCAATAGAGGCTCTTCTTAAACACTTCCAGAAGCACCCTCACAAATATACCCAGAAATGGTACTTTACCAGCTATGTGTGTTCCCTTAATCTTGTAAACTGAACATCTAAAATTTACAATCACAATTTTTATGCCTGATTTGTGGCTAAAATTTTAGAACTAAAGCTATAAGATATCTGTTTAGATCTATCTGTATATGTGTTTGCATATGTTTTCTATAGGTGATATTTTCAAATCTCTGGATGGCATTGCAAACAATTTCTAAAATCATTTAAAAGTGTTCTAAATTGGCTTCAAAAAAGTAAGATATTTTAAGTAAAATATTAACAAAACACTCAGAAAATATAGAAACTGATCCAAATGTTTTTCAAGTGCAGATTATTTTGATAAACCTCAGGTAAGTTGCACTATTTTAATAATTTTGACTTACTAAAACAAGTATGTTTTCAGAATTTTCACTATTAAATAATAAAACAGACATACATTTTTATACTGTTTTGTTACCTGTCAAATAAACTAATATTATATTCAGCAGATATTTAAAATCTTTAAAGTTATATTTGATTTTAATTAAGTTGTCATTATTATGACCAACATTATTGTAGTAATAATTATGTTTTACAGTATATCTAATAATTTATAAAATCTTTCTAGTGATTTGCTACCTTAAAGTTATGGTAAGTAAAAGATGTTTATTAAATTTCTAGAATGTTTATAAATGAGATAAAATGCTAAACTTTTCATTATTCAACATAAATTGAACCATATATATTTGTAGCTTCTTATTTTCACAGAGAGACTGAAGATATTTTGATCTATTTAAAAACATTATTTTCTGCAAGAATGAGACATTGCCTCATTATTATAGAGAAAACATATGCCTCTAGAAATTATGAGATGGTGTATTTATAAATTATCAATCTACTATGGAATGCTAGCATTTGATAAACAGTATGAAATGAGCAGTATACAAAATATACAAATAAGAAAATATGCTTAAACTTTCTTGGTTATATTTGTATTGGTAAAATATTATCTTTTCAAAAACTTTATGGAATTCCTGGAAATTTGTAAATGTCCTCCCTATCTATTATATGCCCTAGTATAATATCATGAGTCATAATTCTAGTTACTATTTTAAATTTTGTATGCCACAGAAGCAGACAAATTCCTGTTTAACTGTGATATAATGAGCTTTCATTACAGTTTTAACCATGGCCATTGTACACCTTTTGTAATGTACAGGTAGGTAGTATTTCAATCTCATGTTTTCCCAACAGGCTCTGCATCTGCATGGGCTACAGGTCAGAATGTTTGTCTTCAGCAAAGAACGTCCTTGAGACTGATAAAAACAACAATGATGGGTCCTCTGGATATAAAAATCTGATGTCAATGTTTAACTAACTTTAAGATTATAACACAGAACTGAGGAACAATATCTAGAGCTCTAGTTGACAAACTGATGGGTTCATGGCACTGCTAACCCAAGATTAAACAATATGGGAATTGATTACATGGCACTGCATGAATGGATAAAGAATGTGTAAAAATTTTACAGCTTTTTTTGATTTGGAAGATTCCTGGTTCTTTAACATTCTATGTCTCTGGATTTAAGAATTTTTTATTAAGTTAACCCTAACTCATAACAACTTAATAGATTATACTTTTGTAAACAGAAATGGAACATTTGTGAACCAAAAATGAAATTTTAAGCCCAACCTGCCCCAGCCATCTGAAAGGACCCCTCTTTTTGGCTAAGGGTATTCCAAAGTTCGTTCAGGTCCTAAGAGGAAGGAGGATCAGACATACTTCATTATACACTCCTACCTTTTGCAATTCAGAAAAAGTTAACCATCACTAACATCAACACAGACCTTAAGTCTGATAAGAAATATTTATAATCCTTTCTCTAGCTTCCTCTTCATGATAAAACTTTGGTTTCTACACCCTTTGTTATTTATTGTAACCCAGATATTTCTTTCTATTGATTCCATGTCTCTGGATAACTTAACTCTTTAAACCAACGGCCAATCAGAATGCACCACCACCCATTTTAAGTTGTCCCACTTTTGGGAAATAAACCAATGTATATCTTACATGTATTTGATTGATTTCTCATGTCTCCCTAAAATGTATAAAACTAGATTGTTCCCAGAACAGCTTGGGCACACGTTTTTCATAATCTCCTGAGAAGGGTTGTATCATGGGTGACTGGTCACTCTTATTTGACTGAGAGTAAATATCTTTAAATATTTTACAGAATTTGAGGGTTTTCATCAGGACATTTCTCTTTCATCTCTCTGCCCATTCCTCCAGAATTCTGAAACTCTTATAAAATGTTCTTATTTTCATGACAATATAGTTATTTGTAAAAGTTCAGTAAACATCTGTTCACCTTTTAACAGGACATATTTGAGAAATTTGTTCATATTATGCAGGCTTTCACTGGAAGTCACATTTGAACAATACAGGCTCATGGTCGAGTGCTAACTGACTTTTACTAGGTTCTGATTTTATTTAAAATTGTGAAGATTGAGAAAACAGAAGGGCCAATTTCTTTAATTAATATGCTATAATGTCAAAGTTTGATAGAGTTAGTATATCTCAGCTAAAGCAGGATGTCAATCTTTATAAAACAGCATTTTTGGTACCATAACAAATTCATTCTCAATTAAACTTTGACTGTCTAAACAAAAGAAAAATGGTTGCTAACGAGGTATACATCATATATTTAAACTTATATAATGATGTAAGTTCTAATATACACACTTAAAATTTTTTCTGGTTGGGCACAGTGGCTCACACCTGTAATCCCAGCACTTTTAGAGACCAAGGCGAGTGGATCACGAGGTCAGGAGATCCAGACAATCCTGGCTAACTCGATGAAACCACGTCTCTACTAAAAATGCAAAAAAAAAAAAAATTAGCCAGCATGGTGGTGGGTGCCTGCAGTCCGAGCTACTCAGGAGGCTGAGGCAGGAGAATGGCATGAACTGGGAGATGGAGCTTGCAGTGAGTGAAGATCACACAACTGCTTGCCAGCTTTGGGGACAGAATGAGACTCTGTCTCAAAAAAAAAATCTATATTGTTTCAACTACTTTAGCACTGTAAGAAAAATGAACCATGAAAGCATGAGTAAAATTGGTGATGGAGGGTGCAATGTGTCCCTGGCCTTGACCTGTCACGGTGGTGCTGCTTAATACCCCTCCTTTCTCTGTACCAGGATTTCTCCCCAGAAACAAGCCCAGATCATCTGTGAAGCACATGTTGGTGGCTGTGACAATGCAAGGTCACAGCCTCACTCAAGAAACACTTTTGTAACGTCAGAGTTGGAGGCCAGGGTTGTGGAAGTAAGGCCTAGGGCAGTGATCCCTCCTCAGTACTGGGTGCCACAGACAGAACACCTTTTCCTCAGCTTTCCTCACCTGGCAACCAGACTTCCCAATGTTGTGGCCTTTCCAGGGGAGAGGAGGTGTCATCCTCACCGTGGATGCAGACCCAGGTATCCCAAGTGCACTGAAGTCATGTCCTGGGTGGCATCTGAGTAGAAGGAAGGCCTGTTTGATGCCCCCAGGACGCTGCCCTGCAGTATGTTGCATGGGCTTCTTGCATCTTCTCCATGAGCCCTCAGTGGCAGCCATAAAGAATCTCTGAAATACAGGGAGGATGAATCCAGCCAGTAATCTCAGGAAGTGGAAGTGAAATAGAGTCTACCTTCCTGTGCCTTGATAGGAATGAAGACAAGAAGAAGCAAAGAAGATGGCCAATAGACCACACTCCATTGATTTCCTCTATATCAGCAATAATGGATAGGAATAATTGGAATTTGAAACATTTACACACCATTTACAATAGTACTCCCCAAACTGAATCAATTTGTAGGGATTCAATCAGGCTGGTGGAAAAATTTTAAAAATGGTTATAGATGCATACACAAACCTTCCTGGAAGGCCTGAAGGTTTTTACCAAAGTCTCAGGATAAGGTTATGGATGAAGGCAACCTAATCCTTTCATTGAGTAAACAGCTTAAAATGAGTACAAAGAAAGGTAGAGTAGGTTATCTAGCTAGCTTGTTTACCCATGTGATCTTAAAACTAACGTTTGATGTACCATGGGTCCTTAATTGCATTCTACTCAGGACGTCCCCATTGTCAATTACCCTCTAGTAGTGTTTACTAAGGATCTTTGTCAATTAATCTTTACATAATAAATGCGAGTCTCACTGAATGATCAAAGTCAAAGTCACAAGTGTTTACAGTACTCTCCAGGGAGCGTGTAAGCAGTTCAGACACAGCTGGACTGGCATAGCAGAATATCTGTTTGTCAATGTACTTCATTCATTCATCGCTAGGTCAGGGTCTGTGGGTCAGACCCCTGCATCTGGTGCTCCTGTGTGAGGAGCACTACCACAGTTGGTGCCCTTGTCTGAGGAACACTGTGAAGGGAATGTGATGGATCCCCCAAAAATGAAGGTGAAGAGGGACTGTACAGTCAAGTCAGTGAGTAATCAGTAAGTCATTGGTGCCCACTTGGGATTTCCAAATTCGGAGAGGATTGGTCCAGCTGAGGTTTCATCAGGAGACAGCAGTTATCAACTGAACAGAAACAGTAAATGAAAGTGTTGAAACAATTGCTTAAGGCTGGCAGAGCATCACTTTTGCCGGCTCAATTAAGGGACCAAATAATGCAAACTGTTGTAACCCAAAGCCCACGGTTCCTAGAAGAAGGAACTCTAGACATAGAACTCTGGGAACAAGTGGGGAAAAATCTTAAACAACATCAGAAGCAAAGGCAATGGTTCCCAGTAACAGCTTTAATACTACAGGCTTTAATTAGAGCAGGCTTTTTTCCGTTATACACAGAAGAGCCTAAAAAGGGGAAGCAGGAGAGAACGTGACCTGCCTTATCACTTCCTCTTCCCTCAGTGGCGGGCAAAAGCTGGCCAGCGGTGAAGGAAGTGGCACAAGTAAAAAGCCAACAAAGGAAAAAAAGCAGCACCTTTACAAGTGCAAAGCAGCCACCACTCAGGGACCCTCCTGGTCAGCTCTCTAGCCCTACAGGAGACACACCCACAGCAAAATATCTTGTTTCTTGTTTACAGGTGACATCCCAGATTATAATGCTCTACTAAGATGTACGTAAAATTTAACAATTTGAAAAACCTCTTTCTAATTGTGGCCACCGTTACCTCTCCTTACACCTAACATGATTCTCTCCAAATCCAATTTAAATAAAAAGTAACCTCTAAAGGGAGAGACATTACAATAGGACCATGGGTTAGTTAAGGAATAATTACAAGTGAACTTTCCTCCCCACTAGAATAGAGTTTCCTGATTGCAAAGTTATTCATCTTATCGGTGATATTCTACTAACAGCCCTTAATATTCCGCCATTTTTGTGATTCCCAAAAGTCTAGTAAATGCTTTACTGACAAAATAGTTCACTCCTCCACACCTAATGCTTTAACACTGTTTACACTTGGTTCCGATCAACATGGAAAGGCAGAAGTCTAGTAGATGCCACATAATTCACTCACTCAGTCTGAGTTTACTAGCAATCAGAGAGCTAAAGTTAAAACCTTAATATTGACTCTAAAAAGCTTTTACAGCCCTAAGTAAGTCCACTCTACACTCTACCCTATGTGCTCATTTTTTCTGTCTTCAGCAATGGTGAGACCAAAGTACACATCCTATTTTATCACACATATTTAAGTATACAGCTCTCTGCCTGGACCATTGTCTTATGGCAATAATCAAGCAGACCTTCAAGTTATGACATCACTGCTTGACCAAGTCACCCAATTGCATCAATTTTTCCACCAAAATTGGAGAAACTTATCTAAACAATTTAAACTTACCCAGACACTGGCTAAACACATTATCCTACAATGCCCAGCTTGCCAGCTTACAGGCACATTCCCTCCTTCAACAGGTGTTAACCCTAGAGGACTAGAACCTAATAAGTTATGGCAAACAGATGTACACACATCCTTGAATTAGGAAAAATAAGATATGTATATGTATCAGTTGACTCCAACACTCATTTAATTAGTCCACATACTCTGCCTGGAGAGTCAACTCAATATATCATTAAACATCTTATTTTAACTTTTGCATTTATGGAGTGACCCACAAAAATTAAGACTGATAATGGTATAGCTTATGCCAGCTCACAATTTCAACTATTTTGTCACACCTGGGATATCCAACATTCCACAGGTATCTCATATAACCCCCAAGGACAAGCAATAGTAGAACATGACAACTTCACTTTTAAAAATGTGCTCAAAAAACAAAAAAGAGGCAGAAGTGGTAAAGACCCTGCAACATTATTGGCAAAGACTTATTTATCCAACAGCTGTAGAAAAGCACTTTGCTAAAGCCTCTCAAGGCATAAAACCTGCAGTTTTATGGAAGGATGTAAACAGTAATGAATGGCGTGGTCCTAGTGAATTATTAACATGGAGAAGAAGGTATGCTTGTGTCCACACCCCTTCAGGTCCTCTTTGGATTCCAATACAAAGCATCAAACCATTCCATGGCAAGGCTAGGACTCAATCTGGTACCAGAAATGAAGGCATTAACCATGCAAGACCCACAGCCCCAGATGATGTGGCTTCCACAGAGGCCACAGGTCCTGGGCATTATGCTGAAGAAACAGAAGGCTAAGCAAATCCTGCTCTGGACACAGACACCATTCACTTCAGCTAATTTATTTCTTTTTATTCTCTCACTGTGCCTATTACCTGTACTTTCTACACTCTAATAAACCCATCTTCTAAATCTGACATTTTTCAGCCCTGTCATCTGGGGAGATACTCCATTTCCAGCTTCTAACAACATAACTGCTTGGCTGGAAGGAGTTAACAAACCCCCAGTGGAGTACCTTAGTAACAGCACTCATCAAACTGAAGTACCAGGTCACACTTTGACTGGAAAAGAATGTTGCTAATTGTACTCATGATTGTTTTGTGTTATTTTCCAATTTTAGGATGCAAAGCCAGAATAAGAGCAATGACTGCCTCGCCTGAAAAAAACTGTTCCTGCACACATCTACACTTTCCAATCAAAAGGACTTGATGAAAAAATGAAAAAGGGGGAGATGTAGGAATTTAATCAGGCTGGTGGGAAATATTTTAAACATAGTTATATAAATAAATGCAAACCTTCTTGGAAGGCCTGAAAGTTTTTACAAAAGTCTTAGGATAAGGTTACAGCTAAAGGCAATCTAATCCTTACCTTAAGTAAACAGCTTAAAGTGGGTACAAAGAAAGGCAGAGTAGTGTATCTGGCTAGCTTGTTTACCCAGATAAAGCAAACTTTTGATGTACCATGGGTGCTTAATTGCTTTCCACTCAGGAAGTCCACAGTGTCCGCTATCCTCAGTGTTTACTCCCTACCTTTGTCAATTAATCTTTACCAAATAAATGCAAGTCTCACTGACTGATTGAGGTGGAAGTCACAGGTGTTTACAGTACTCTCCAGGGAGTCTGTAAATGCCACATACACTCAGCTGGACTGGCAAAACAGAATAGTTTTGTGTCAGGGTACTTTATTCATCCATTGATGGGTCAGGGTCTGCACGTCAGACCCCAGCACCTGGTGAGGAGTGCTACCACATCCATTAAGTATAAATATAACAAAATAAGCAAAATTCATTTAGAAAACCATGAGTCACCATTGAGATAAATCAAAAGAAATATAAATAAATGCAGACAGGCCAGGCATGGTGGCACACGACTGTAATTACAACACTTCAGGAGGCTGATGCAGGCAGATCACTTGATTTCATGAGTTGGAGACCTGACTGGGCTACATGGTGAAACTGAGGAGGGAAATTAAAGATATAATGAAAAATAAAATTAAAAAGAAAAAGAAGTAAGCATTCCTGTATTAGGCTGACCTCTTCCACAGGCAGCAACAGTCACAGCTCAGACTCAAGAAAAGTCTTGATAAACACTATCTGAGATGCTCATACATGAAGAAATGTGCTCTGGATAGTCTCCTAGCACTCCCTCAAAACAGGGAGTAGAAAAACAAATTTTGCTTTGTTTTAGTGTATGAGTTTGTAGATTCTTGTTCTCTGTAGCTAGTAACTTCAAGTATTCTGTTTTATCAAAGAAGTACAGAGAACGTCACAGAAAGCCTGAGCAGACCTGAACTACAGCTGTCTGGGCATCATAGAGAAGGTTATAAGATAAACCAATGCAAGGTTCTTTAGAGCAAAACCTACCTAATAGATATCTGGGTTGCTTGGCAAGTGTCATGTGTAATTCTGAATTATGAACCTGTCTCAATTTTATAAATTGTTCTGCCTCTGTAACCTTGCTTTTGTGCCACTGTAACTGTAAGCCTGCTTCAAGCTAGCCTACCCCTTTTTTGAAGATGTGTATAAGTCAACTGCTGTCTTTGTTCTGGGCCCAGCTTTTTGGATGTTGAGTCCACTGAGTCTGAGTGCACTCAGTAAAAATCTTCCTGTACCCCAAGACCTCTCTGGGACTCCTCATTCCACAACAAAATCTCATCTCTACCAAAAATGCAAAAAAATAAGCCAAACATGGTGGTGCACACCTGTGGTCTCAGCTACTTCGGGCGCTTAGGTCACATAATCTCAGTGAGCTGAGATCATGCCACTACATTCCAACTTGGGTGACAAAGTGAGACTCTGTCTCAATAAATATAGGAAAGAGGTTTCTTGTTTAGAAGCAGTACACTAATTATTGTTTCTGCCAAATCCCAATCAAAATCCAGGCAAGGATATCAACAAACTCTTCCTAAAATTAGAATGAATGAAATAAGACTATAGAAGGACAAAGTTAAAAAACTTACACTTCTGGGTCAGAATACTTACACTAAGCTAGAGCAATAAAGTGTGGCATTGATGATTTAATAGACAAGTAGATAAGTGGAACAGAATTGGCAACCCCCAAACAGACCCAACTCAACAGATTTTGTCAATGGCACAAAGTATTCAATGGAAAAGATAAATCTGTTCCACAAGTGGCAACAGAACAACTGGAAACTAAATGAAAAAAATAAACATAAACACAAACTTCATAGTTTTCCTGAAAAAAATTACTCAAAAATATTCATACATTGACATTTTCTAAAGCAAATTTGTAAGAGAAGAAAATCTGCATATCCTTGGATTTGGTAATCAGTTATTGTCCAGTCTGTGAAAGAAACAAAAATTGGTAATGTAGCCTTTATTAAAATTTGAAATAGCCACTCCATAAAACACATTTTTAAAGTCAGGCATGGTGGCTCATATTTGTAATCCCAGCACTTTGGGAGGCTGAGGTGGGCAGATCACCTTAGGTCAGGAGTTCCACATCAGCATGGCCAACATGGTGAAACATTTTCTCTATTAAAATACAATAAAATTAGCTGGACATGGTGGCAGTCATGACATTCCAGTTACTCTTGAGGTAGAAGGAGGAGAATCCCTTGAACCTGAGAGCCAGAGGTTGCAGTGGGCTGAGATCACACCATTGCACTCCAGCCAAGGTGACAGGGCAAGACTCTGTCTAAAAAAAAAAAAAAAAAGAAAGAAAAGGAATAGAATCCAAAGAGAACCAAAAAGCCACAGGCTGAAAAGTGACTTGTATGCAAAATATGAAAAGAAACTCTAAAACTGAAGACTATAACACAATTAAAAGGAAAAGACCTGAATAGATACCTCACTTAAGGAAGATAATGGAGATGGAAAACAGGCACACAAAACATTGCTCACTGATCTCCTGCTGCTTCTGCTGAAGGCTGAGGCTCCATGCTGTCCCCTAAAGAGCAGCAGTGGCTGCCAAAGCAGCAGTGGCTCCAAAGGCTATCCCCACATATCCCAGCTCTGCCCTTCCTCCAGGGCCCAAGAGTCCCCCAAGCACTGGTGATGCTCTCCTGAAATGAGCTGGAAGCTGAATGTTTTATTTCTCAGCTTTTCTTAATGTTCTGGAGGTTGCCAAGTATCCTTAGGTTGGAAGTTTTATTTTTATCCTAACAGCCTTGAGGCACTTACAAGTATTAGAAGGTTGGTTTTCAACCCACACTTGTCTCCATAAAGGGATAAAATAATTGGCTCAGCTGGGCACAGTGGCTCATGCCTGTAATCCAAGCACTTTGAAAGGCTGAGGAGGGTGGGTCACCCGTCAATTGTTTGAGACAACACTGGCCAATATAGGGAAACAGTGTCCCTACTAAAAATAAAATTAAAAAAAATAGCTGAATGTGGTGGTAGTCTCCTGTAAACTCAACTACTCAGGAGGCTGAGATAGGAGAATTGCATGAATCCAGGAGGCAGAGGTTGCAGTGAGCCAAGATTGCACCATTGTATTCCAGCCTGAGTGAGAGGGAAAAAAGTCCCACACAAACAGCTTGTACTAAAGAAATTCCTGTTGCTCCCTTAACACCAGTAAAATAATCACTTGACTGAAAGCGTTCTCTACATTAAGTTGCATCACACTAATTCACCACGTTGTCTCATTAGCTAGAGTTTACTATCTCCTTATAGTAACCATAAAATTAGAACAAATAGCAGGATAAATGACTATGTGTACTAGCATTTTTTTAAAAGTTTTTACTAGGTAGAGCTTAGAGTGCATATTCTTTAAACACTTTCTCTTTGGCACAGCACATGCATGCTTTTTGGCAGCAATCATAGAATAATGAACAAACAATAACAACCAAATAATGTTAAAAATCACTTGCTCTCAGGGGAAAGCCAATTAACAAACAGAGCACAGACCATCTATATTATGTCTAAAAATTTTTTAAATGCAATGAAAACGGTGAAAGGAACACTTGTTCTTTGCTGGTGGAATGCATAATTGTAAAGCAAAGTTAAAATGTGTTTTTTTCTTCAGCCACAGTTTTGGCAGTTTTTTTTTTTTTCAAAGCTAAACATAGTCTAACCATATAGGCTAACATTTGCACACTGATGTATTTAGACAACAACTTTGGAAACTCGCAATTAACCAGAAACCACGTGCAATTTTGTATACCTGCTCTCTTGATAATGGCCAAATACTTTAAGGAATCAGGATACCCTTAAATGATAACCAAGCCAGGTAAATCCATGAAATGGAATACTATTCATCAAGACAAAGGGATGATTTATGAGGTCATGCACAGCCGTGAATGCATCATACACGTATAAAGAAAAGCAGAAAAAGCCAGTCTGAAGAGACCACATATTGTATGATCCCATTTCCATGACATTATAGAGAAGAAATGTGTAGCGATGGCAAACTGACCTGTAATTTAAAGTGGTTTGTAGGTGGCAGGTAGTGAGCTGAGTAGGAGAACAGGCTGATGGAAAGAGGCACAAATGGGCCAGGTGGGAGTCAACTCCTCTGGCTGGTGCGATCATGCTGGGCATGTGGAAGAGCCAAGAGTATGTAGTACCAGCATGAATAAAAAGGCTCCTACTCATCCTAGAAGTGGAGCACCTTCTTTCTTCACACATAGAACTATCTTAGGAACAGTTCTGAGAAATATTTTGTTGTATGAGATAAAACATACATAACAAAATTTACCATTTCAAACATTTTAAGTGAGGATTTCAGTGAAATTAACTATTCTCAAGTTGTGCAACCATCACCACCATTTCACTTTCTCACCAGCAATGCACAAGAGTTCTACTTTTTCCACATACTCTCCAACTCTTCCTTTAAAAAAATAGACATTCCAATGTGTAAAACATGGTAATCTCATTGTGGTTTAGATATTTGTTTAGCTTATGGCTAGTGATGTTGAGCATCTTTTAATGTGCTTATTGATTCTGGTTTTGTCAATGATTGTATGAACAGAAGAAAAAGAAAAAGTAGATAGGCAGGTGGTTCACAAGATCAGGAGATTGAGACCATCCTGGCCAACATGATAAAACCCCGTCTCTACTAAAAATGCAAGAATTAGCAGGGTGTGGTAGTGCACACCCGTAGTCCCAGTTCTTCAGAAGGCTTTGACAGGAGTAACATTTGAACCCAAAAG
The DNA here is from genome assembly GCF_000001405.40 of Homo sapiens. Classification (NCBI taxonomy): domain Eukaryota; kingdom Metazoa; phylum Chordata; class Mammalia; order Primates; family Hominidae; genus Homo; species Homo sapiens. Next base: position 21,753,359 of record NC_000024.10, on the reverse strand, counting down.
GCAGAGGTTGCGGTAAGCTGAGATCACACCATTACACTCCAGCCTGGGTGACAAAACAAGACTCCACCAAAAAAAAAAAAAAAAAAAAAAAAAAAAGAGACAGAGAGAGAGAGGACTTGCAAGGGTTTTTCTCCAAAGATACACAAATAGCACATGAAAATATGTCCAACATCCTCACCTCAGGGAAACACAAGTCAAAGCCACAGGAAAACATCACTTCATATCCATTATAATTGCTATTATTAAGGAAAAGCTAACAAGGGTTAACATGAAAATGGAGAAATGTGAATGTAAAATTGTGCAGTTGCTGTGGAAAATAGTCTGGTGGTTCTTCAAAAAGCTAAACACAGAATTACCATAGAACCCAGCAAATCCACTCCCAGATATATACACAGAAGAACGTAAAATGGGTATTCAAACAAAAAACCTGTACACATATGTTCATAGCAGCATTATTCACAATAACTAAAAGTAGAAACAAACCAAATGTCTACCAACAAGTAATAGGAAAACAAAATTTAGTATTCCCATACAATGGCATAATATTCAGCTGTAAAAATATTGCAACTCTAACACTGCAATGTGGAGGAACTTCATAACCATTTTGGTTAAAGAAGGTGAACATAAATGGTCACATACTCTATGATTTCATTTATATAAATAGCCAGAATAAGTAAGTAGATAGAGACAAAAAGCAGATTACTGGTTGCTAGGGGTCAGAAAAAAAGGACAGATTAGGAAGTACCTCTTTAGTAGGTATGGGATTTCCTTTTGGGATAATAAAAATTGGAACTAAGAGGTGGTAGTTGCCCAGAAATGTGCATGTACTAAAGGTCACTGAATTATTCATGTAGAAAGTTAATTTTATGTTATGGAAATTTTACCTCAATAAAAAGACAAAATTCCTTTCCCAGCATTCTCCAACCATGGTGAGCTCTCTCCACGGGGTGCCATCACCTTGGGGTTCAAGTCCCTCCACAGTCGAGAATGGCCTGGAGCCTGGCCAACCCCATTCTGGACACATACTCCAGCCACACTGTCCACCAGCTCCTAGACCTGTTAACAGTGGAAGGTATCTGAGTTACTGGTGGCAAATCCATCCAGGTCTGTAGTAACTGCACTTCTTGCCTTCTTAGAAGAAAGAATTTGACTGAGGGGTATAAAGTAGTGAAAGATACTGAGGGAAGTTTCATAGCAGGAGTGGACATTTATTAAAAAGCAATCTCTGAAAGTCATACACTGAGGGTTTGTCTCTTAATGTGCATGCCTGAGCTCACTTGCCCAATAACTGAGATTTTATTGGAAGCCCTTTTTCCTTCTCCCCGGTTCCTGCATTTAATTAACACTTTAATGTTAACAGCTGTGGATCAGTAGAAGCTTGTATCTCTCTGGCTCCAGCTGCTAAATTATCATTTTTAGAGAGGCAATATGAAAACTGTCCAACCATCACCCAATGACCTGACATTCCTGGTGGGTGGGTGGGATGGGAGAAACCTCTGCTCCCCCACTCATTCCTGTGTAACTACCTGTAACAGACCAACTAACTGGCCATTTCCAACTCCAGGTCACTTTCCATTTGCTACCTTCACAGACATCCAGTGATCAGTGATACCTCCTCAGAGTTTACAAGGTCTTCTGAATCTTGTTCTGCTGTAATCCAGACCTCAGCACATAATATCCATGGTTTGTCCCATTTCGATAAAGGTAAATTAGCTTTTTCTGAGCACCACCACACACAGCTGTCTTGCTCAGGTGAACTAACAGCAACTCTGCAAGAAATGGGTAGTCCCTTGTGCAAAGGGACAGCCAGGATCAGGTGACTGAGTGACTTACCTGCAATCACACAGAGTCCAAGTGGCCTCATACTCAGTTTCCAGCCCACAGCCAGGTCTCCAGGTGTTGTTTAGAAAAAGCTTGTGAGTCACATGAACATGCAACCAGGACACACCCAGACTTCCTTTTATCAACAAAGATGAGCTCTATCTTCTGGGACAATGGATGACAAGACCCACCAAGTCTTCTTTCTCCCATCCAGAGCCAAGGTAGGTATTTGACACTCATTAGGTAACAGACTCTTTTCCTAAAACCCTTTCATAGATAGGGTTTTTGGAGGAGATTGTGTTACATACAGGCCAGAGAATGCAAGTTTAGAGAGGGCATCACAGCCAGCACATAGAGAAAAAGCTGGTGATTTCAAATGTAAAGAAAGGACAGTATGCTGAAAAGTTACTGCACTGAAGTGTGAACGAGACAAGAGGTTATTATGACTAAAGTAGGGGAAGCAGGAGGGAAAGGAGGGAATAGATTAAACACTTAGGACAAGAATCAGTGGTTCCTTATTGAGGTCAGTTCATACCTACCAGGACATGATGTGGCCACTGTACTCACAAAGTGAACCATGAGAAATGAAGACAAGTTCACAGGCTACATACATAAAAAATGTTCACAGCAGCCCCACGTATACTAGACCCAACTGAGAGCCCCAAATGCTCATCCACAGGAGAAGGGTGAAGAAGCTGTGGCGTATCCACACCCTGGAATGTGGCTCAGTGTGCAAAGGAATGGATTGCTTATGCACTCACCACAGGGTGACTCTCAAAGCAGCAGGGCTGAATAAAAGGAGCCAAATCAGAACAAAACACAAAGACCCAAGGACTTAGCATATCTACATGAAACTATAAAATTCAGCTAAATTTTAGTAACAGAAGCAGATCTGTGGTCCAAGGGTGGCCAGGCAGAGATCAGTATGGGTAAGAGGAGAATATGTCTTCGTGAGCTTCATCAAGGTGTGGCCTTGCAGTGGATGGAATACTCCCATGGAGAAAACCATTACTTCTTCTATTTGAGGGACTTCTCCCCCTCAAATCATATGTCTCCTATAATTCTGCCCTCACTGGGAGACTGACTTGAGCCAACCTGGTCTCAGCTCCTACACAACGGAGACCCCCATACCCTGGGAACCTGGTTCTGCTGGCCCATAATAAACACTGGTCTTGAGGGAGAAGCACAGCTCACGTGTGCTACAAGCAAGACTGTAAAGTACAG
>NC_000024.10:21748371-21750013 GCF_000001405.40 Homo sapiens | reverse complement strand
TGCCCTGTCACCTTGGCTGGAGTGCAATGGTGTGATCTCAGCCCACTGCAACCTCTGGCTCTCAGGTTCAAGGGATTCTCCTCCTTCTACCTCAAGAGTAACTGGAATGTCATGACTGCCACCATGTCCAGCTAATTTTATTGTATTTTAATAGAGAAAATGTTTCACCATGTTGGCCATGCTGATGTGGAACTCCTGACCTAAGGTGATCTGCCCACCTCAGCCTCCCAAAGTGCTGGGATTACAAATATGAGCCACCATGCCTGACTTTAAAAATGTGTTTTATGGAGTGGCTATTTCAAATTTTAATAAAGGCTACATTACCAATTTTTGTTTCTTTCACAGACTGGACAATAACTGATTACCAAATCCAAGGATATGCAGATTTTCTTCTCTTACAAATTTGCTTTAGAAAATGTCAATGTATGAATATTTTTGAGTAATTTTTTTCAGGAAAACTATGAAGTTTGTGTTTATGTTTATTTTTTTCATTTAGTTTCCAGTTGTTCTGTTGCCACTTGTGGAACAGATTTATCTTTTCCATTGAATACTTTGTGCCATTGACAAAATCTGTTGAGTTGGGTCTGTTTGGGGGTTGCCAATTCTGTTCCACTTATCTACTTGTCTATTAAATCATCAATGCCACACTTTATTGCTCTAGCTTAGTGTAAGTATTCTGACCCAGAAGTGTAAGTTTTTTAACTTTGTCCTTCTATAGTCTTATTTCATTCATTCTAATTTTAGGAAGAGTTTGTTGATATCCTTGCCTGGATTTTGATTGGGATTTGGCAGAAACAATAATTAGTGTACTGCTTCTAAACAAGAAACCTCTTTCCTATATTTATTGAGACAGAGTCTCACTTTGTCACCCAAGTTGGAATGTAGTGGCATGATCTCAGCTCACTGAGATTATGTGACCTAAGCGCCCGAAGTAGCTGAGACCACAGGTGTGCACCACCATGTTTGGCTTATTTTTTTGCATTTTTGGTAGAGATGAGATTTTGTTGTGGAATGAGGAGTCCCAGAGAGGTCTTGGGGTACAGGAAGATTTTTACTGAGTGCACTCAGACTCAGTGGACTCAACATCCAAAAAGCTGGGCCCAGAACAAAGACAGCAGTTGACTTATACACATCTTCAAAAAAGGGGTAGGCTAGCTTGAAGCAGGCTTACAGTTACAGTGGCACAAAAGCAAGGTTACAGAGGCAGAACAATTTATAAAATTGAGACAGGTTCATAATTCAGAATTACACATGACACTTGCCAAGCAACCCAGATATCTATTAGGTAGGTTTTGCTCTAAAGAACCTTGCATTGGTTTATCTTATAACCTTCTCTATGATGCCCAGACAGCTGTAGTTCAGGTCTGCTCAGGCTTTCTGTGACGTTCTCTGTACTTCTTTGATAAAACAGAATACTTGAAGTTACTAGCTACAGAGAACAAGAATCTACAAACTCATACACTAAAACAAAGCAAAATTTGTTTTTCTACTCCCTGTTTTGAGGGAGTGCTAGGAGACTATCCAGAGCACATTTCTTCATGTATGAGCATCTCAGATAGTGTTTATCAAGACTTTTCTTGAGTCTGAGCTGTGACTGTTGCTGCCTGTGGAAGAGTCAGCCTAATACAGGAATGCTTACTTC
>NC_000024.10:21741441-21747863 GCF_000001405.40 Homo sapiens | reverse complement strand
AATGGATGAATAAAGTACCCTGACACAAAACTATTCTGTTTTGCCAGTCCAGCTGAGTGTATGTGGCATTTACAGACTCCCTGGAGAGTACTGTAAACACCTGTGACTTCCACCTCAATCAGTCAGTGAGACTTGCATTTATTTGGTAAAGATTAATTGACAAAGGTAGGGAGTAAACACTGAGGATAGCGGACACTGTGGACTTCCTGAGTGGAAAGCAATTAAGCACCCATGGTACATCAAAAGTTTGCTTTATCTGGGTAAACAAGCTAGCCAGATACACTACTCTGCCTTTCTTTGTACCCACTTTAAGCTGTTTACTTAAGGTAAGGATTAGATTGCCTTTAGCTGTAACCTTATCCTAAGACTTTTGTAAAAACTTTCAGGCCTTCCAAGAAGGTTTGCATTTATTTATATAACTATGTTTAAAATATTTCCCACCAGCCTGATTAAATTCCTACATCTCCCCCTTTTTCATTTTTTCATCAAGTCCTTTTGATTGGAAAGTGTAGATGTGTGCAGGAACAGTTTTTTTCAGGCGAGGCAGTCATTGCTCTTATTCTGGCTTTGCATCCTAAAATTGGAAAATAACACAAAACAATCATGAGTACAATTAGCAACATTCTTTTCCAGTCAAAGTGTGACCTGGTACTTCAGTTTGATGAGTGCTGTTACTAAGGTACTCCACTGGGGGTTTGTTAACTCCTTCCAGCCAAGCAGTTATGTTGTTAGAAGCTGGAAATGGAGTATCTCCCCAGATGACAGGGCTGAAAAATGTCAGATTTAGAAGATGGGTTTATTAGAGTGTAGAAAGTACAGGTAATAGGCACAGTGAGAGAATAAAAAGAAATAAATTAGCTGAAGTGAATGGTGTCTGTGTCCAGAGCAGGATTTGCTTAGCCTTCTGTTTCTTCAGCATAATGCCCAGGACCTGTGGCCTCTGTGGAAGCCACATCATCTGGGGCTGTGGGTCTTGCATGGTTAATGCCTTCATTTCTGGTACCAGATTGAGTCCTAGCCTTGCCATGGAATGGTTTGATGCTTTGTATTGGAATCCAAAGAGGACCTGAAGGGGTGTGGACACAAGCATACCTTCTTCTCCATGTTAATAATTCACTAGGACCACGCCATTCATTACTGTTTACATCCTTCCATAAAACTGCAGGTTTTATGCCTTGAGAGGCTTTAGCAAAGTGCTTTTCTACAGCTGTTGGATAAATAAGTCTTTGCCAATAATGTTGCAGGGTCTTTACCACTTCTGCCTCTTTTTTGTTTTTTGAGCACATTTTTAAAAGTGAAGTTGTCATGTTCTACTATTGCTTGTCCTTGGGGGTTATATGAGATACCTGTGGAATGTTGGATATCCCAGGTGTGACAAAATAGTTGAAATTGTGAGCTGGCATAAGCTATACCATTATCAGTCTTAATTTTTGTGGGTCACTCCATAAATGCAAAAGTTAAAATAAGATGTTTAATGATATATTGAGTTGACTCTCCAGGCAGAGTATGTGGACTAATTAAATGAGTGTTGGAGTCAACTGATACATATACATATCTTATTTTTCCTAATTCAAGGATGTGTGTACATCTGTTTGCCATAACTTATTAGGTTCTAGTCCTCTAGGGTTAACACCTGTTGAAGGAGGGAATGTGCCTGTAAGCTGGCAAGCTGGGCATTGTAGGATAATGTGTTTAGCCAGTGTCTGGGTAAGTTTAAATTGTTTAGATAAGTTTCTCCAATTTTGGTGGAAAAATTGATGCAATTGGGTGACTTGGTCAAGCAGTGATGTCATAACTTGAAGGTCTGCTTGATTATTGCCATAAGACAATGGTCCAGGCAGAGAGCTGTATACTTAAATATGTGTGATAAAATAGGATGTGTACTTTGGTCTCACCATTGCTGAAGACAGAAAAAATGAGCACATAGGGTAGAGTGTAGAGTGGACTTACTTAGGGCTGTAAAAGCTTTTTAGAGTCAATATTAAGGTTTTAACTTTAGCTCTCTGATTGCTAGTAAACTCAGACTGAGTGAGTGAATTATGTGGCATCTACTAGACTTCTGCCTTTCCATGTTGATCGGAACCAAGTGTAAACAGTGTTAAAGCATTAGGTGTGGAGGAGTGAACTATTTTGTCAGTAAAGCATTTACTAGACTTTTGGGAATCACAAAAATGGCGGAATATTAAGGGCTGTTAGTAGAATATCACCGATAAGATGAATAACTTTGCAATCAGGAAACTCTATTCTAGTGGGGAGGAAAGTTCACTTGTAATTATTCCTTAACTAACCCATGGTCCTATTGTAATGTCTCTCCCTTTAGAGGTTACTTTTTATTTAAATTGGATTTGGAGAGAATCATGTTAGGTGTAAGGAGAGGTAACGGTGGCCACAATTAGAAAGAGGTTTTTCAAATTGTTAAATTTTACGTACATCTTAGTAGAGCATTATAATCTGGGATGTCACCTGTAAACAAGAAACAAGATATTTTGCTGTGGGTGTGTCTCCTGTAGGGCTAGAGAGCTGACCAGGAGGGTCCCTGAGTGGTGGCTGCTTTGCACTTGTAAAGGTGCTGCTTTTTTTCCTTTGTTGGCTTTTTACTTGTGCCACTTCCTTCACCGCTGGCCAGCTTTTGCCCGCCACTGAGGGAAGAGGAAGTGATAAGGCAGGTCACGTTCTCTCCTGCTTCCCCTTTTTAGGCTCTTCTGTGTATAACGGAAAAAAGCCTGCTCTAATTAAAGCCTGTAGTATTAAAGCTGTTACTGGGAACCATTGCCTTTGCTTCTGATGTTGTTTAAGATTTTTCCCCACTTGTTCCCAGAGTTCTATGTCTAGAGTTCCTTCTTCTAGGAACCGTGGGCTTTGGGTTACAACAGTTTGCATTATTTGGTCCCTTAATTGAGCCGGCAAAAGTGATGCTCTGCCAGCCTTAAGCAATTGTTTCAACACTTTCATTTACTGTTTCTGTTCAGTTGATAACTGCTGTCTCCTGATGAAACCTCAGCTGGACCAATCCTCTCCGAATTTGGAAATCCCAAGTGGGCACCAATGACTTACTGATTACTCACTGACTTGACTGTACAGTCCCTCTTCACCTTCATTTTTGGGGGATCCATCACATTCCCTTCACAGTGTTCCTCAGACAAGGGCACCAACTGTGGTAGTGCTCCTCACACAGGAGCACCAGATGCAGGGGTCTGACCCACAGACCCTGACCTAGCGATGAATGAATGAAGTACATTGACAAACAGATATTCTGCTATGCCAGTCCAGCTGTGTCTGAACTGCTTACACGCTCCCTGGAGAGTACTGTAAACACTTGTGACTTTGACTTTGATCATTCAGTGAGACTCGCATTTATTATGTAAAGATTAATTGACAAAGATCCTTAGTAAACACTACTAGAGGGTAATTGACAATGGGGACGTCCTGAGTAGAATGCAATTAAGGACCCATGGTACATCAAACGTTAGTTTTAAGATCACATGGGTAAACAAGCTAGCTAGATAACCTACTCTACCTTTCTTTGTACTCATTTTAAGCTGTTTACTCAATGAAAGGATTAGGTTGCCTTCATCCATAACCTTATCCTGAGACTTTGGTAAAAACCTTCAGGCCTTCCAGGAAGGTTTGTGTATGCATCTATAACCATTTTTAAAATTTTTCCACCAGCCTGATTGAATCCCTACAAATTGATTCAGTTTGGGGAGTACTATTGTAAATGGTGTGTAAATGTTTCAAATTCCAATTATTCCTATCCATTATTGCTGATATAGAGGAAATCAATGGAGTGTGGTCTATTGGCCATCTTCTTTGCTTCTTCTTGTCTTCATTCCTATCAAGGCACAGGAAGGTAGACTCTATTTCACTTCCACTTCCTGAGATTACTGGCTGGATTCATCCTCCCTGTATTTCAGAGATTCTTTATGGCTGCCACTGAGGGCTCATGGAGAAGATGCAAGAAGCCCATGCAACATACTGCAGGGCAGCGTCCTGGGGGCATCAAACAGGCCTTCCTTCTACTCAGATGCCACCCAGGACATGACTTCAGTGCACTTGGGATACCTGGGTCTGCATCCACGGTGAGGATGACACCTCCTCTCCCCTGGAAAGGCCACAACATTGGGAAGTCTGGTTGCCAGGTGAGGAAAGCTGAGGAAAAGGTGTTCTGTCTGTGGCACCCAGTACTGAGGAGGGATCACTGCCCTAGGCCTTACTTCCACAACCCTGGCCTCCAACTCTGACGTTACAAAAGTGTTTCTTGAGTGAGGCTGTGACCTTGCATTGTCACAGCCACCAACATGTGCTTCACAGATGATCTGGGCTTGTTTCTGGGGAGAAATCCTGGTACAGAGAAAGGAGGGGTATTAAGCAGCACCACCGTGACAGGTCAAGGCCAGGGACACATTGCACCCTCCATCACCAATTTTACTCATGCTTTCATGGTTCATTTTTCTTACAGTGCTAAAGTAGTTGAAACAATATAGATTTTTTTTTTGAGACAGAGTCTCATTCTGTCCCCAAAGCTGGCAAGCAGTTGTGTGATCTTCACTCACTGCAAGCTCCATCTCCCAGTTCATGCCATTCTCCTGCCTCAGCCTCCTGAGTAGCTCGGACTGCAGGCACCCACCACCATGCTGGCTAATTTTTTTTTTTTTTGCATTTTTAGTAGAGACGTGGTTTCATCGAGTTAGCCAGGATTGTCTGGATCTCCTGACCTCGTGATCCACTCGCCTTGGTCTCTAAAAGTGCTGGGATTACAGGTGTGAGCCACTGTGCCCAACCAGAAAAAATTTTAAGTGTGTATATTAGAACTTACATCATTATATAAGTTTAAATATATGATGTATACCTCGTTAGCAACCATTTTTCTTTTGTTTAGACAGTCAAAGTTTAATTGAGAATGAATTTGTTATGGTACCAAAAATGCTGTTTTATAAAGATTGACATCCTGCTTTAGCTGAGATATACTAACTCTATCAAACTTTGACATTATAGCATATTAATTAAAGAAATTGGCCCTTCTGTTTTCTCAATCTTCACAATTTTAAATAAAATCAGAACCTAGTAAAAGTCAGTTAGCACTCGACCATGAGCCTGTATTGTTCAAATGTGACTTCCAGTGAAAGCCTGCATAATATGAACAAATTTCTCAAATATGTCCTGTTAAAAGGTGAACAGATGTTTACTGAACTTTTACAAATAACTATATTGTCATGAAAATAAGAACATTTTATAAGAGTTTCAGAATTCTGGAGGAATGGGCAGAGAGATGAAAGAGAAATGTCCTGATGAAAACCCTCAAATTCTGTAAAATATTTAAAGATATTTACTCTCAGTCAAATAAGAGTGACCAGTCACCCATGATACAACCCTTCTCAGGAGATTATGAAAAACGTGTGCCCAAGCTGTTCTGGGAACAATCTAGTTTTATACATTTTAGGGAGACATGAGAAATCAATCAAATACATGTAAGATATACATTGGTTTATTTCCCAAAAGTGGGACAACTTAAAATGGGTGGTGGTGCATTCTGATTGGCCGTTGGTTTAAAGAGTTAAGTTATCCAGAGACATGGAATCAATAGAAAGAAATATCTGGGTTACAATAAATAACAAAGGGTGTAGAAACCAAAGTTTTATCATGAAGAGGAAGCTAGAGAAAGGATTATAAATATTTCTTATCAGACTTAAGGTCTGTGTTGATGTTAGTGATGGTTAACTTTTTCTGAATTGCAAAAGGTAGGAGTGTATAATGAAGTATGTCTGATCCTCCTTCCTCTTAGGACCTGAACGAACTTTGGAATACCCTTAGCCAAAAAGAGGGGTCCTTTCAGATGGCTGGGGCAGGTTGGGCTTAAAATTTCATTTTTGGTTCACAAATGTTCCATTTCTGTTTACAAAAGTATAATCTATTAAGTTGTTATGAGTTAGGGTTAACTTAATAAAAAATTCTTAAATCCAGAGACATAGAATGTTAAAGAACCAGGAATCTTCCAAATCAAAAAAAGCTGTAAAATTTTTACACATTCTTTATCCATTCATGCAGTGCCATGTAATCAATTCCCATATTGTTTAATCTTGGGTTAGCAGTGCCATGAACCCATCAGTTTGTCAACTAGAGCTCTAGATATTGTTCCTCAGTTCTGTGTTATAATCTTAAAGTTAGTTAAACATTGACATCAGATTTTTATATCCAGAGGACCCATCATTGTTGTTTTTATCAGTCTCAAGGACGTTCTTTGCTGAAGACAAACATTCTGACCTGTAGCCCATGCAGATGCAGAGCCTGTTGGGAAAACATGAGATTGAAATACTACCTACCTGTACATTACAAAAGGTGTACAATGGCCATGGTTAAAACTGTAATGAAAGCTCATTATATCACAGTTAAACAGGAATTTGTCTGCTTCTGTGGCATACAAA